>NC_000006.12:22787272-23090303 GCF_000001405.40 Homo sapiens | reverse complement strand
TGTTTTATCCCAGGCAATTGTTAAATAGCAGTTGTTTACATTGCGTATTCCAGTAGGTAGGCTGTGGATTCTGGGCAAATGGCTTTCAGCCAAAGGGTATAGTCGATTCTATTACAACTCTACACTCAACTTTTCTTGTTCTCTAGGGACCGTGACTCAAGTTCAACTCGCGTTCCAAAGAGAAATATACTTGCTGCTTTCAGTGAAGTCTCTGGTAGACTGTAATCTGCACAAAATCCAGTCTCAGTGACAAAAAAAAAATCTTTGCAAAGCTGTGAAAGAAAATGAAATACAGCAGAAATCAGTCCCTTTGCATCAACCTGGAGGGCATTTGTTTGGGAAGTATATTTACTGATAAAGATGGTGCACAGCAGTGATATGTGTTCTGTCCAAATATATTGAGAGATAAAAGGAGATAAGGGGGTCTCCACACTGCATTCCCTGTCCTTGAGGTAGTTTGGTAGAAGAAGGCATAAGAAAGCTTTCTCATACTAGGCTTCAAGTATGCAATCTTAACATCATTATGAAAAATCACAATTCAGATGTAAAGAGGCAATTTATCTCACCTTTCCCAGTAGCTGATGTCATAATCAGTCTTATCTAGAGGTGGGTTGAGGAACCTCTTCCTCTGAAAGGACGGGGAAGAAAACAAGCAATCAAAACACTTGTGCATATTTATTCATTCATTTAACAAATATTTATTGGTACCTACCAGGAGCCAGGTGCTTGTAATACATCTGCTTACAAAATAGACAAAGCTCCCGGTTGAGCTTACATTCTACCTGGGGGTAGAACATTATAAATAAATTGGACAGTATGTTGAAAAGGTCATGTTAGAAAGTGATCAAAAGGAATCAGGAGGACCAAGTCAGCAGTGGAAGAGGATGCTTTTAATTAAATAGGAGGGTTGGAATTGAAAAAAAATAAAAGTTACCAGTGAAGTCAGGTCTTTAAAGTGTTGAAGGAGTAAGTGCTACAGATATCTGGGGAAAATGATATATGTACATGAGGGAGGATGAGCTTTGAAATGGAGGGCCTTCAGTCTTCTGTCTTTCTGGAAGAAAAGTCTTGATCATCTAAGAATGAGGCAGGCTGGGAGTAAGCAAATTAATGAGAATACTGAGAGTCTGGAGGAACCACAGTTAGACATGAGAAAGGAAGGTATCCAGGGAAAGTATAAACCAGGTTCTCAGCAGTGCTGGGAAACTAGTTATGTTGGACACTACATATTTGTATTAGATGCATTTGGAATAGTTGTATGGTTTTTTGAACACAGTGCTTGGCAGAGCAAGAAATGATTGGATTGATTCTAAGTTGGGAATTATCAAGAGAGGGACAAGGGGATGAGGGAGCCAAGTTTGCTGGTGAAAGAGCATATATGGAGATGGGTCACAGGAGTCAAGTTCAGCAGAAAGAAAGTGAAGATGCACGTGGGACTTACAGAGGAAAAGACAAAAAAAAGTTTGAAGGGATTTGGAGAGGAGGAAAGCATTTACTAAGATTAAAAAAAATGTGAGAAGTAAATAAAATGTGGTGTTTGGGATGTTAGCTTCAAATTCTGAGGATAAAATGATCCCAGCAGTGGTGCTGTGTAATCTTGAGAATGAGTTACTGAGGAAGATGATGGTTACATTGTAGGAGGTCATTTAAATGCCTATCTCATCCAGTGCTCTTGAGATTAATAGGTGGAATGTTTCATATACCACAGCACCAGGAGAAAAATCACAAGCTTGGCATATGAGTCTAAAACACATAGACTATTCTTCACTTACTAGCCCTGTAACCTTGAGAAAGCTCACTGGGTATAATAAAGTTTCCTCAATTGCAGGATGGGTAAAATTAAATGTAACACAGGACTATTGAGGGAAATAAATGAGTTAGTGCATGCAATCTGTGTCTAGCACAGTACCTGATTCAATAAAACTTAACAGTCTATAGCTATTACCAAATTTTATTCATTCAGAAATATTTTTACACTTAAACCTTCTGTGATAAAGATGTGTCCTATAAGTTTCTCCCCCATAAAGCTAATATTAAATTAATGCAGCTTCTCACATTCTTACATTGATAGTGTCTTAGAATTCAAACATGATGTCCATTCCCTTTCCTTTCCACTGTCATTTCTTTCACAGTGAATGTGAAGGAATAATTTTAAGCTAAGAAAATAATCATTGTAAGTATGAGCCAAGGCTGAAATAACTGGCTGGCAGGAATCTGGGATAAAACAATAGCTTTACTGGAAGGTATGAATTCAAATGATCCAGAAGGGGTGTCATGATGACACTGATGCTCCTAGTTGGTCTGAGATATGCTTTTATTTCCCCATGCTTACCTTCTACATCTTACCTCAAATTCTCAGGAAGGAATTCTATGAAGTTTTGCTACTGAAATGCCAGGGGCTCAGTCTAGGTCCTGCTGCTCACAGCAAAGAATGCCTATCACTGAGACAATGAGTATTGCCAGGGAAGGCTTTACTTGGGTGCTGCAGCTGGGAGAATGGGAGAGCAGTCTAAAATCCATCTCCACTACTGACTAAAATTGGGAGGTTCTTGTAGCCAGGGAAGCCAAGAAAATAGGAACTATGGAGAGTTAAGGAAGCAATCATGATGGATGAGGGGTCTGGCATCTCACTGTCTCATGGCAGCTGATGGCAGCTGAGACAAAGGAGAAACTCAGCTCCTGCAAAAGGACAAAACAAAAGGGCACTATTGGCAGTGATGCTGAATTTAAATTAGGGAAAAAAGTGAAGTTATAACTGGAAAGTGAGTCTCAAGTTCAGAAACAAGAATAATGAGGAACAGATCAGAAAATTGCAGGGAGTAGGAATTGGGTCAGTGAAGGGACTCAAGTCAGGATTGTGAGCAAAGAAACAGAGTTAATGGCCACTTTTTACATGGTGCTGACAAGAGAGTTAGTATCCTACAGGACTGAGGCAAGACCAGGTAATTGTGATACTTCTCTCCAGGATCTGAGAGTAGTGAGTGGATCCCATAAAAATTTCAACATTATTTTAACCTGATCATAATAGTCTCTGTTCATATTTTTGCAGGTGTTATTATTTTTAGCAACAAAAATAATCTGATTACAAAGAATTGGGTAATATTTGTCCTGAAGTCATCATAGGTTTGATAGCATGGAATAAAATGACTATGGGGCTAAATGATAAGGTTCTCTTGTGCTTATGTAACTACAACAATTAAACTATTTTTATACCAAAGCTCATAGTGTTAGGATTTTGTCTCTTCCACTTAATTTTCTTGAACTATTTTACACAGCATGTGATTCATGATTTGTAGCACACAAACAATAGACCTTACATTGAGGCCACAGGTACACATGTTCTATTCATACAGGTAGTTTATGGAACACAGCCTCTTCATTACAATTCAATAAATTTTACATTTCGGCCAGGATTTTATGTTGTTTTTTAATTATTGATTTTCCACTTGACTTCTCTCTAGATTTCATACACAATTGTACTGTGTAGCTCTCTTAGTCACCAAAAAAATATTTTTATATGTATCTCAAACTGCTGTCTGAGTAGCAACCTGATTTAAGACTCTGTATGCTAATAATAGTAGTAATGGATATATATTTTATAATATTTATTGACCATTTCTATGTACCAGATACTGTGCTAAGTGTTTTACATATATCTCATTTAATCGCAAGAATATCAATAACAGTGGCTATCTGTCTATCTTCTCAGTGGTAGAGGTGGAGAAACTAACTTATTAACTTGACAAGAAACCTAAATCTTGTAAGTAATATGATAGAACTTTGAGGCCTGATTGTTGTCTTCCAGTTCTTATAGCTTAGCCATCGTTGTGTACTATTTTCAGCTGTCTTTCACAGAAATCCTCTTAAATCCTTTGTGTATGATTTCTGATCAGCAATTTGGATGTTTTCATTTCCTGTGGTTTTCCTAGATGATTTGCCCCAGTCAGCTAATATTCTTCATTTTGATATATGATGTAACTATTTCGGGCATAATAAAATTATCCTGCTTTCAGATCTCCAAACAGTTTACTCATCTCATTATCCCTGTCATTTTCTTAGTGCACATTTCTGGGCCTTCACTTAGAAGACACTAAACAGTCAATCCCTGTTAGGTCACCTGGCAGTCAAGCCTTGTTTGTAATAAACATTAGTAAGAATGAACCTGACACAGGCTCATGGTGGTGCCTCCCTTTTGCAGATAATACTCATATTTAAAAATACATCTGTTTTTGAAAATGGATTTTCTTTACAGAAATTATTTTCTTTCAGTTGTATATTACAAAGTTTTTAAGCAGTGATTTCTCTGCTTTAAATAGGAGCATCTATCTAGGTATTATTTTAATTCTAACTTTATTTGTCTCTCATAAATGAAACCATTTTAGGTCAAAGCAAATGGACAGCAATAGCATAATTGGGATAACCACCTTTGTATCCTTTTCCCTGATATTCAGCCAAGATTAAGTGTCTCACTTTACAATACACTCTTAGCAAATATAAGGTGGAATTTATAGGCTGTTTAAATGGTATTGCCTCGAAGTGTTATTGAAATGGTTCATGTGTTACTCTGTCCCTAGCCAGGGTTTAAGTTATGGCAATTAGAAGAGGGAAATGCAACATGTTTGGTAACGGAACTGCTGAAAGCATTAATTTATTCTTTTTTTCTAAAATCTGTCAAATTTAACCACTTTTCTCTTACAAATTCATCAAATTGTAAATATTAAAAGAGCACTACTGTATAATCCCATGAGTTGTAAAGACAGAACAAAAACACAAATTATAATGAGCAAATAGCCAAAGTTTAGGCTTTCTTTTAGGTCATACTTTTCTGTTCAGCATTATTAGAAAATATATTCACTTTATTATGAAAATAGTTTATATTGAAAGCCTTGCTATTGCTTATTAAATGTTTTCATATAGTAAATGTTAACTATTATGTTTTTGGAAATTAATTATTGAACCTCTATTAAAGTTAATTAAACTAATTAGGTTGCATTTTAATGAAGTTTTGCAAGGATAGTACATTATAGAACTTTCTTGTTTAAAAAAACAAAAATTGTAGTGGATACAGTTATGCACCTCCATTGAAAAGTAAAAGGAAGTGAGGGACATTCTAGAAAAGGAGACAGCAATGAAAATGACTAGATGTAAGAAAAAAAACAATGAAATATATTTAAAAACTAGAAGAAAATGGTGTTTTCTAATGTATGTTACAGGATAGGTGAAGTCAAGAGTTTAGGTTTCAGAGATAGTCAGGGGCAAGATTTAGACATCTGTCAGGCTGTCGAGGCACAAATAATGACTTCAATTTCTTTAAAAAAGAATAGAAAAGAATGGGGTTGTCTACCAAGAGACACTAAAGAAGACCTCAACGGAGGCTGGGGGAGAAAGGTCATTAAGAGGTTTGGGAGAGTGTAAAGGATAAGTAAAATAATTATTGTGTCCCTGAACATCCTGCTGTGTTTGGAAATGAATTTCAGAAGATGGAAATAATGGGAATTGTTATGGACTGAATTGTGTTTCCCCAAATTCATGTACTGAAGCTTTAACCCCCAATGTGACTGTGTTCGGAGATAGGGCTTTTGTGGTAGTAATTGAGGTTAAATGAGGACAGAGGAGTGGGCCTTGATCTAATAGGACTGGTTTCCTTTTAGGAAGAGGAAGAGACATCAGATCTCTCTCTCTATCTCTATCTCTGTCTCTGTCTCTCTGTGGGTGCCCAGAGAAAGGCAATTGAGGACACAGTAAGTAGGCAGCCATCTACAAGCCAGAAAAAGAGGCCTCACCAGAAACCAACCCTGCTGACAGTTTGGGAGTTTTGCTGAGAATAGTAAATAACATTCTTCATTCCCTCTTGAATCAGGAATCAACTGTGAGATAAATGTGGATCATATCAAAGAAGATCAAAATCTCAACTTTGTCACTAAGACAAATGGAAATCATGTATTTGATTTGCATTTTAAAGAACTCATCAGTGTTATACTCCTGAATTACAAAGATTCAACACCCATCACTGACACAGGTAGATGACCACGTGGCAGAAAGGAGACCAGAATGCATGCCTCTTGCAGACAGACCTGGCTCCAAAAAAGAAAAATAGGAACTGTTTCCTGAAGCTACCATAATAAGTTGCCACAAACTTGGTGGCTTAAACAACAGAAATGTATTCTCTTCCGTAGGCTAGAAATTCAAAGTTAAGGTGTCAAAGGATCATACTGTCTCTGAAAGCTGGGGGAAAGAATCCTTTCTTACATTTTTCTAGCTTCTGGTGGCTCACAGCAAGGCAATCGTTGACATTCTTTGGCTTGTAGCTGCATTGCTCCAAACTCTGCCTCTGTCATTATATGGCCTTTCCCCTCTTGTCTCCATGTGTCCTTTTTCCTATAAGGACACTGGTCAGTGGATTTAGGGCCTATTCTAATCTAGTGTGGCTTTGTCTTAACTAATTACAACTGTAACGACCCCATTTCCAAACAAGGTCAGATTCTAATGTTCCAGGTGGACATGAGTTTTGGAGAGGATGTTCTCCAACCCACTAGAAGATGGACTAGTCATGCCCAGATGTTTCTTTAAACTCCCTAAATATATAAATTAGTTCTCTAATGAAGGATGAATGAATAAGAAAGGGAGAGGAGGGAGTGTCAAGTGTGTCACTATAGAAGAAGTCCTCCCAAATAGAAAAACGAGGTCAGGAAATGAGAAACTCCCCTAATTACATTTCAGCTCCTTGCTTGCTTAATTCATTGCACTTAGCCCTTGGGTCTGTATTCCACTGGCTCTGTGGCTATCTCTCTCAGAAGAGGCAAGAAGCATTCTATGAAGACAGCCCACTCATACTTCATGAGCCATTCCCCAAACGGCCACTAATCCTGCTTTGGGTTTCCTTCTTCTCCCAGAAGGTGTTTAACGTTTACCTCCAAGGCTCTGAAATGGGTCAGTATTACACAGGAAGAGCCTACTGTTCCCTAAGGCAAAAAAGTGTTCCTTATTCTCATTTTACTTATTCTCAAAGTACACCTGGACACTTTGCATAAGATACCTCACCATAAGTTATGCTGTTAAATTAAGTGACAGCATAAAAACATTCTAATGTCAGCAATATAGAGATATCCCTGATTTAAATATAAACACTCGTCATCATATCTCTGAGGAGAAACTAAAATGTCACAAATGAGATCCTTGCCAATCTAAGTCCACAGAAATCAAAAACCCATATTCTTAAGTTTCTACTCAAATAAAATAAATTCCAAAGATGAAATTGTCTTGCCTTTACATATTAGGTTCAAGGAAAGTCCAAAACCTTGAAGTTGAAGTCAGAAATCATCATTGTTTTGTTTTGTTTTTTAATCCTGCTAATTCTCAGCTGGAGAGCAGGACTATAAATCAGATCCCTGATCAAAGTTCAACAGCTTCAACCTGCCTCTCACTGAAAGGGATGAAGTTCTGTCAATGTCCCTGAAATCAGATTACCCGTGCTAAGTTTATCCTGTGTCTCCATTTGTAGAAAGTCTAAAGTATACATTAGGAACAAAGGAATGTATTAGCATTAAGTTGCACATTTACAAAATGAAGACAATAAGGCAATTCCCAGATTGTAGTTACAACAAGCAAAAAGAAGTTTCCAAAAAACACAAAGTAGACCGATATTACTCTTGCTTAAGACTCAATAATATCTGAGCAATGGAGAATAGACAGAATCAAGAAGAACCTTTGTTTCAGGCTTACCAGCTTGTCAATCATTCTATCTCAGGAGTATATCCTTCAAGATATATAAATTAAAATTCAGTAAGGGGAAATATCTCACCATGGAATTAATTACGGTACAATTTAAATTCTCTAGGTTCAAGAAAAAAATCTCTCCCAGTATGTAGCATTAGAATAATCCTGCTATCTTGGGGTGTTCAAAATCTGTAGTGATGGCAGGCCCATTCTTCAGGGCTTATTTTTATCCAGCACATTAAAAATGTCTTAATTTCTAGTTTTTCTGTGAACATTGAGTAGCCAATGTCCTGGTGCTACACTGAGAGTGGAATATATGTGGCCATCCTGCCCCCCAATCACACACACACACACGCATGCACACGCACACACAGACACACACACTTCTCCATTAGAAGGCATTCTTACTTCAGTTCTGCCATAGCTTCTTGTAGCCATTATCTCTTGCAATACAATTACTTTGGGCCTGTAAGGTAGAGTCCCCTAGTCTTGCAACTGGAAAATCATACTCAGCAAATTACTTAAAGGAAGCTGCTGTTGATGTATATGAAACCTGTCTCCCTAGAGATATAGTAGCTACCAATAACTCAGCTATCTGCACTTTAAGATATTATCTTCACTTAAGGATTTTAATGTTTTAGATTTTGAGAAGGATCTTGTTTGGGAGGCAAATAGCTCCTCCAGTGGTTTATTGAGGAAGCTCAGCTGGATTGCCGACAGTGAAACTTAACTTCTTGACCTCATGCAGCACTGGCACATCTGAATGACTCCTTGTTTTTTCTTTCTCTTTGTCTTCTTGCCTTAACATTTCTTTGGCTAACTTATTCTTCTAAACTTTGTCTTGTGTCATTCTTTATAGTGAGAGATTGGGAATAAGTGAGTTCCAATTTTGCTAAAAGCGTTAATTGTTCATGCAATGTGTTCTCTGTTACAATATCCATTATTTTAATCTAACTTATTAACAGAACCCTAATTTTGCTAAACTATTTACTTCTCAAACTCTCTCACAGAGAGACTCGCCATTAGCCCTAGTTCTATCTAAAAAGAGACCTATAATATGCATATATTATAGGGTAGAAATTCAAAGAGGTTTTAAAAGAAAATTTTCAAAGCCTGCTCTACTTGTTTTTTGCACACCTCTCTTTCACTTTTTCCTTCTTAGAAGTAGGACTCCTGTATATATAACAGTCATCTTGATCAATATTTTATGTGTATTAGTACACAAAGACCAACAATTGAATGAACATCCCATAAATACGATAGCCATTAAGTTAACATTCAAACAGGGCTGGATTCAATCTAACATTGACCATCTTCCTCACTTTCAAAAAATGTGTCTAATCGTCCCTATGCCTTATAACCCTGATTACATACATTTCCAGGGTGTATTCAACTAGGGCAGTAGTTACTTCCTCATATGCAATATTTGAAATCACAAATTAATACTTTAATAATTCTGTGTTAGTCTTCCAGTCTTTATCTCCCAAATCATCCCAAATGTTATGTAACCACTTGGAAGAGGTCCTCGGTCTTCAAGGGGTAATTTCCTGGAAGCTCTAATTTTGGGTTACTTAAGTGAATGGCTTTCAATTGTTTTTGTATTCAGGTTCCCTTCAAGGAGTCACTCTGGCTTATTCTTGGAGATTTTTGTCTCTTTCCCTCTAGAGACATTTCTTTAAAGTCCCAGTCACGATTCCTGATTTAATAACAACCAGATAAACTCGCCCCTTTCTCATACTCTCTTCAAGAGTAGCTAGACCTGCAAGCACTTCATTATACTTTTGTTTTTATCTAGCTTTGACTTCAAGGTCTCCTTTTTCCCTACATATCTTCCTTGCAAATCCTCCAAACTCTCAAACTTGTCTTCTGTAGACATAGTTCTCTTTCACGTTAATCAACCTATTTAGCTTCATCTTTCTTTCCTTCTTCCACTGCTCCTGTGCTGAAAGTAAGACAAAAGCATAACTTTCAAAGCTCACAACTTTTCTTTTAAATTCCTGATTTTTAGAGCCAGGGATTTTCAGGCATAGGCATTTTAGATTGCCTTCTTAGCCTTCGGATGAGCAATTTCTCTGAATCATCCAAATTATTCAGAGGGTGAATTAGGTTGGCCTATCTTACTTATCTATTGTAGTACATATCTTTGGTCTCTGCCAACTCATAAACAGACTATTCCTGGAGCAGATAGCCTCCCCTAATTCGATCAAATGTGAAAAGGAAACTCATGAGGTCCAAATAAAGTTGGTTCTTTATTGCACAAATGTGGGAAGCACAGTTGGGGGCTGGCAGACATTGACTGGTATTTTATTAAAAGTAGTGAAGAACTGAATAGAGTCTTAGGGTCAAGATGGACAGAACCAACCTCTTTAACCAAGTGTTAATGAGTATAAAGGAAGCATCTGCCTTGACTCGATATTGAAATTGACAGGGCCATGTGTCAGTTAAAGCTAGGATATATGAGATACACATTTTTAATTGATGAATATAGTAGTGGTACTTTTTATGAGGAAGTAAGAGTTCTAGAAGTAAAATATTAGGAAAGAAGGACATAGTGAATTGAAAAGTAAAGGGAGGCCAAGGTTAGATCGTCATGTAAAAAAGAGAACATGAGGGTATTTGTGACCCAATACAGGGCTTACCTTTAAGTAGTGACCAAGAGTGTCAGGGGTGTGAGGCTGATCAAGGGCATCGTGGGTCCCGATTACAGATAACCTCCTATATATTGTTACTAAGTTCAGTTTTTATTCTAGAGGCTATGCCAATTGCCTGAAGTAATTTACCATGGGGATACAGGTACTTTTTTTCTACATAATATGTTGCCAAAACTGCACAGAGGTTACTCTATGAATATTGGCTAGCATATACATCCAAGGAAGACTAATTTCAGATGAAAGAAGACTGTGGTCCTGTTGTCAAGTTTTGTAGGTAATTCATAATAATCTAGGTACTCAATGACAACAGGAACAGATATCCCAAAGCAACATAATATCTAGAATGCACATGTAAAATTTATGAGACTGACTGGCCTGGAATGTATAGTCAAGCTACATAGAAGTGCCACTTTGCATCAGCAGTAGAAAGACTACCTTTCTTTTGCATAAAATTATGTAAGTGGATTTCCCGTTTAAGTACTGGTAATGGGAAAATCTGAAAGACAACATATTAATTTCATTTTTAGATAGTTCAAGAAGTCTGCCTGGGTTGATATATCTTTTAATAGATAAAATATTCATATAAAGCTAGAAGACCAAGGAACTTAAAAAGCCAATACTACTGAAAAGCCGTTTCCCTTGCTGTAATCATTTCTTCATTTAAACTATTCTGCTTAATAATGGAACATAGTGGGAGCATAATGAGGCAAAAGCTATCAAAGCGATTGTTGCTATGAATGCTGAGATTGAATAATTGTTCACTTTTGAATGAGGTCTCACTATAACCATAGGCAAAGACTGAGTCAGGACAAACATTTACATTTTGAAACAGCCTGCTAGGAAGCAACATCCAGAGCTGCCTACAATTAGCTCTGCCCAGGATAGAGATTTTTAGATAATGCATGCGATAAAGTGCTGGGAAGTAGTGCCTCTTTTTTAAGACAAAATATTATGTATATATTTAAAACCCCTAAAATATGATAGAAAAAAAGCAAAATGGTCATAGCTAGTATCAGGAGGGGAAATAGAACCCTACTAGTTTGCTCTTCCCTTGACAGCCGGGAGGAAGGGGAGGTGTTTCAGGAAGTTGTGAAGGTTTCTAAGGCTCTGAAAAAAGAGACTTGGTAAGTATTATTCTAAATTGACAATTTGAATGACTCTAGGTACTTCAATTCACCATCACAATATAAAATTATTGATGGGATATGTTAAAGAAAAACATGCTTATGAAATCTAAGCATTAAAAATGACATAACTCCCATTCAAGTAACCATACATCACCAGAATCCTGTTTAACCCATTTCTGATAGATTCAAAATCCGGTGTTTTTTTTTTGGCAAATAACCATCCTCCTATGCAGTCTCTAGTTTAAGTTCTCATTATTACTCACCTGGAATAAGAGGATACAGCTCTGGTTCCTCTCCTAACATATATATATGAACTTACACTGAGAAATAGTAAAGTAGATATCTGACAATCTGGGACATCTAGGGGCTAGGCTGACATCAGATGACTGGCCTGCTACTATTCATTATGTATTGATGTTTCTGGAAGCTGGTCTGGTACTCACAGATAGGCCTTGATGTTCTGTTGAACACATACAACTTTATAGAACGTCTATATCAGACCAGGCTACTCTGTGACCATAATGGATAAAGACAGAATCAAGACCATCCTCCAATCACGTCTAAACAGAGAGGAAAATGTGAGCATTTTCCAAACCACAAAAAAGCCAAACAGCGCACATGCTGGCCAATATTTGTGACTTTTGCTTGTTTTGTAGCTTTAGCCTTGCTCTAATGTTCTCTCTTTCTAGATGATATTCATTAAGATACCCCTGCTTCCTGACAACATTCAATCCACAGAAAAGCCCAACTTTATCTCCAAAATCATCTAACCCATGGCCAAATTCTGTTAAGTCCTATCATTCCCTTACAGAAACACCCCACAGTTGCCTTGCTGCAATCGGAAATAAGCCAGAGCTCTGCCTCTGGTGGTCTTTAAGTGAGATCAGTGATAACATTCTCAGCTCATAAATTTTCACCAAGTCATCATTACCCATGACATAATACCCTATCTGGATATGTATCGTGGCTTCAAAGACCTTCCTGATTTCATCGTGAACTTTACATCAAACTTCATTTCTGTTACCATTTCTCATGTAGCATTTGTTAAGACCTGGTAGGTGCTAAATTCAGTCCTTACAATGATCTTGAAAGATGATGTAAAGCTATTTTTATTTTTGAACTCAAGAAACTGAGGCGCAGAAAAGTCCACTATCTCTTGCAGGTTCACACAGAGAATAAATTAAAGAAGCAAGATTTATATTCAAGTCTGTGTATAAGTCCTGTGGTTTTTCCTTTATATTATGCAAATAGCAGACTACTTGATAATACTCTCAAAACATGCCCCATACTTTCAACCTCCTGTGATTTTGCTGGTGGTATAGATGTGTTTTCATTTACTGTAATTTATTTTCCTTCAGAGCCTATCCAAAATGCTGACTTTTTCATTATATCTTCCCCACAGCATTCATTTGTTCATTTACTTAATCAACATTCCTTGAACTCTACTTATACTGAATTTCCATTAGAATGAAAGCTCCATGAAAGCAGTGCTTTCCAATAAAATTAATATGAAGATATGGGATGGGGTAGGCATGGGAGGAAGAAAGTGAAGCATGATTAAAAAGATCTCCAAAAATAGTTAAGTAATATTCCTACCTATGTATATTATAATCTATATGTAGTTTACACGTATTAACATTGTTCATTTTTGTTCACTTAGTACATTTCATCCCTCTCCCTTTCTACCCACCACTCCCAGAAATGTGTACTTATCATTCAGATTCTCCTTGCAAATAACACGTGCGTATTGGTATTTGCAGCTGAAGAATCTAGTAGCCTGCTGTCTCTCAATATACATGGCTGGACACCAGCTGTGTTCCCTGACTTAATCAGCCTCCAGTAGACACCATACATACTCTGCTTAGTGCTTTTTCTTAAAGTAATTTTTAATGAAACTTTTTATTGCATTAATAGTAGAGATAAACATGTCAAGAATCATGTACAGTGTACCAACTGTATAAGCTACATGAAGAGCATTCTGCTCAGTATTCTCTTTTTTTTACAAAGCTTTATTTTATTTTTAAATGTTACATAATAATTGTATGTATTTACCAGGTACAGTGGGATATTTCAATACATGTATACAATGTGTAATGATCAAATTAGGGTAATTAGCATATCACATCAAATATTTATCTTTTCATGGTGAGAACATTCAAATTTTCCTCTTTTAGCTATTTTGAAATATACAATATTTATTGTTACTATAGTCACCGTACAATGGAGCACTGGGATTTATTCCTCCTATTTAACTGTAACTTTGTACAGCTTGACCAACCTCTTCATAATCCCCCACCCTCTTCCCTTCCCAGAATCTGACAACCACTATTCTATCTCTGCTTCTATGAGATAAACTTTTTTTAGTTTCCACATATAAATGAGGAAATATCATATTTATCTTTCTGTGCCTTGCTTATTTCACTTAACATGGTGTTCTTTGACTCATCCATGTTGCACAAATGACAGAATTCTATTCTTTTGTGTGGCTGAATAGTATTCTGTTCTGTAAATATACCACATTTTCTTTATCAGTTCATCTGATGAAGGGCACTTAAGTTGTGTTCATGGTTTGGCTATTGTGAATAGTGCTGCAATAAACAAGGAAGTACAGATATCTCTTTGACATGTTGATTTCATTTCCTTTGCATATATACCCAATAATAGGGTTGCTGGATCATATGGTACTTATATTTTTAATTTTTAAAGGAAACTCTCTACTCTTTCTATTATGGTATAATAATTTGCATTCCCACCATTAGTGTATGAGAGTCCCTTTCCCTTTCTCCAGATCCTTGACAACATTTGTCTTTTTCTTTTGTCTTTTTTATGATAGCCATTCTAATAAGGGTAAAAAAAAAATCTCCTTGTGGTTTTGATTTGCATTTCCCTGGTGATTAGTGATGCTGAACATTTTTTCATGTACCTGTTGGCCATTTACATGTCTTCTCTGAGAAATGTCTATTCAGACCCATTGCCTGCTTGTTAATCAGATTATTTGTTATTTTGCTATTGAGTTCTTTGAGTTCCTTATATAGTCTGGATATTCACTCATAGTCAGATGCATAATTTGCAGCTATCTTCTCCCATTCTGTGGGTTGTCTCTTCACTATATGCCAATAGCAAACTATCTAAAAAAGAAATCAAGAAGGCAGTCCCATTTACAATAGCTACAAAAGACAAATGAATAAAATATCTAGGAATAAATTTAACCAACAAGGGGAAAATCTCTACAATGAAAACTATGAAACATTGATTAAAGAAATTACAGAGCACATAAATAAATGAAAAGTATCCCATGTTCATGGATTAGAATAATTGATATTGTCAAAATGTCCATACTACCTGATATGGTTTGGCTGTGTCCCCACCCAAATCACCATTTTGAATTCCCACGTGTTGTGGGAAGGACCCAGTGGGAAGTGATTGAATCATGGGGGCAGGCCTTTCCCATGCTGTTCTCCTGATAGTGAATGAGTCTCATGAGGTCTGATGGTTTTAAAAAAAAGGCATCCCCCTGCACAAGCTCTCTTTTTGCTTGCCACCATCCATGAAAGATGTGACCTGATCCTCTTTGTTTTCTGCCATGATTGTGAGGCTTCCCCAGCCATGTGGAACTGCAAGTCCAATTAAACCTATTTCTTTTGTAAATTACCCAGTTTTGAGTATGTCTTTATCAGCAGCATGAAAATGGACTAATACACTATTCAAAGTAATATACAGATTTGATGAATTTTCTATGAAAATACCAATGAAATAATTCACAGAAATAGAAAAAACAATCCTAAAATTCATATGCAAACACAAAAATCCCAAATAACCAAAGAAATCTTGTGCAAAAAGAATGAAGCTGGAGGCATTACACTATCAGGCTTAAAAATATACTACAGAGCTATAGTAACTAAAACAACATGGTACTAGCATAAAATAGACACATAAACAAATGAAACATAGTAGACAACCCAGAAATAAATCCATGTATTTACAGCCAACTAATTTTTGAAAAAGGTATGAAAAGCACACATCAGAGCAAGATCAGACTCTTCAATAAATGGTGCTTAATTCTTTATCCAGCTCCTTGGCCAGTACTCACCCAGCCTCTGCTACAGGATTCCTTCCACTCTTACAAGGTTCTGTGTGTTGTCCACTTATTTCCTAATGGGTAAACATCCCAAGAAGAACCCCACAATGCCTCAGGAATGCTAATTAAACCTCCACACTTCTCTCTGCTATGCTGCCACTTTGTGACCTAGATCTAGGTTGGTGTGACACAGCTTGGGGAAGATTATTGCATAGAGTTCTAAATAGGGGATGAGGGTCAAGTGCACCTCCTACCCTAAGTAGAAAACCCAGTTTCATAATGCAGATAAGTACAGGCTGCATTCCTCTGGTAACTGCTACCTACACATGCATATGAGGCAAGATTATTATTACATTCAGGGCATGTGACAACCCAGGAGACCAGTGACAACATGGGAGGAAAAAGACAACACAAATTAAGAGCACACATTTTCTCTACTGTGCTTAGTTCAAATAAACCACACTCCATACACTAAGCCATCTCAGGAAGGGTTGCAGAGAGGGATACCATCTGAGAGGCATTTTTATCCCAGATAGACTTCACCATTTAAAGGAATGGCTAATATTTGGGAGACACAGAAAGGTTTATGCTGGAGAGAAACAAAAGTTTTTTTCCCTGCATTTAAGAAGTGAGTATGGCTCTGGCAAAAAGCCACATTAAACATTAGAAAAATAAAACTTCAAGTTTCTGTGTACATTTTGTTCATTCTGTGTCTCAACATGTGGAGACAAACAAACCCTGCTGCCTGGTTGAACTTTTAATTCATGACCAATGACCTCGTGTGGGCCTTATTGCTCCTGGAGATCATGCTATATTATTTCAGAAGTCTGTTTACTCTTGAATTCTTCTAAATTAATATTAACACTTTCTCCTCTTTCCTGAAACCTCCCTTATTCTGATTCTCGGCTGATGATCTTGCTTCCTTCTATACTGCTAAACTAAAGCAATCAGAATAGAACTTCTGCAGACTTTCAACACAACATCCACTTATATAAGGCATGTTCACTTCAGGCATCTTTGTGTTTCTAAAGTCTAAAGTCATGTAAAGTCATCTCTCCACTTGTTCACTAATCCTATCCTGCTCATCTACTCAAGAACATCATTCCAGCCATTCTCTCCTTTCATTCCTACTTCATCATTTTTTTCTTGTGTATTGGATTATTCTCATCAGCATATAAAATATTACTTCTCTAAAAATAACCATCAGAAACTCCAAACACCTCTATGCACACAAACTAGAAAATCTAGAAGAAATGAATAAATGCCTGGACACATACACACTCTCAAGGCTGAACCAGGAAGCAATTTATTCCCTGACAGACCAATAATGAGCTCCAAAATTGTATCAGGTATAAATAGCCTACCAACCAAAAAGAAGCCCAGAAGTTAATAGATTCATAGCTGAACTCTACCAAATATACAAAGAAGAGCTGGTACCATTCCTACTAAAGCTATTTCAAAAAATTGAGGAGGAGGCACTACTCCTCAACTCATTCTATAAGACTAGCATCATCCTGATACCAAAACCTGGCAGGAACCCAAAAAGAAGGAAAACTTCAGGCCAATATCCTTGATGAACATCGATGCAAATATCCTTAACAACTTGCAAACCAAATGCAGCAGCACATCAAAAAGCTAATCCACCACGATCAAGTAGGCTTCATCTCTGGGACGCAAGGTTGGTTCAACATATGCAAATCAGTAATATGATTCATCACATAAACAGAACTAGAGACAAAAACCACATGATTATCTCAATAGATGCAGAAAAGCCTTTTCATAAAATTCAACAACACTTCATGTTACAAACTCTTAATAAACTAGGTTTTGAAATAACATACCTAAAAATAATAAGAGCCTATGCCAAACCCACAGCCAATATCATACTGAATGGGCAAATGCTGGAAGCATTCCCCTTGAAAACTAGAACAAGACAAGGATGCCCCTTCTCACGGCTCCTATTCAAATAGTATTGGAATCCTAACCAGAGCAATTAGGCAAGAGAAAAAAATAAAGGACATCCAAATAGGGAGAGAGGAAGTCAAACCATCTCTGTTTGCAGATGACATGATTCTATATCTAGAAAACCCCATAGTCTCAGCCCAAAAGCTCCTTCAGCTGAAAAACAACTTCAGCAAAGTTTCATGATATAAAATCAATGTACAAAAATCACTAGCATTTCTATACACCAACAACAGCCAAGTCAAGAGCCAAATCAGGAAGGCAATCCCATTCACAGTCACCACAAAAAGAATAAAATACCTAGGAATACAGCTAACCAGGGAGGTAAAAAAAATCTCTGCAATAAGAATTACAAAGCACTGCTCAAAGAAATCAGAGAAGACACAAACACATGGAAAAACATCCCATGCTCATAGATAGGAATACTATTAAATGGCAATACTGCCCAAAGAAATTTACAGATTCAATGCTTACTATTAAATACTATTAAAATGGCAATATTGCCCAAAGAAATTTACAGATTCAATGCTTATGATGGTTAATACTGAATGTCAACTTGATTGAATTGAAGGATGCAAAGTACTATGCCAGGGTGTGTCTGTGAGGGTTTTGTCAAAGAAGATTAACATTTCAGTCAGTGGACTGGGAAAGGCAGACCCACCCTTAATCTGGGCAGCACAATCTAATCAGCTGCCAGCGGGGTCAGAATAAAAAGCAGCAGAAGAAAGTGAAAAGACTAGACTGGCTTAGCCTCCCAGCCTACATCTTTCTCCCATGCTGGATGCTTCCTGCCCTGGAACATCAGACCCCAAATTCTTCAGCTTTGGGACTTGGACTGGCTTCCTTGCTCCTCAGCTTGCAGACACCCTATTGTGGGACCACGTAATCGTTGTGAGTTAATATTCCTTAATAAACTCCCCTTTATATATGCATGTATCCTATTAGTTCTGTCCTTCTAGAAAACCCTGACTAATACAATGCTACTTCTATGAAACTACCAATGACATTCTTTACAGAACTAGAAAAAAACTGTTTTAAAATTTATGTGGAACCAAAAAAGAGCCCAAATAGTCAAGACAATCCTAAGCAAAAAGACCAAAGCAGTAGGCATCACGTTACTCAACTGCAAACTATAACTTCAGGGCTACAGTAACCAAAACAGCATTGCACTGGCACAAAAAAAGATACATAGAGCAATGGAACAGAATCAGAAGGCCAGAAATAAGGCCATGTACCTACAATCATCTGATCTTTGACAAAACTGACAAAAACAAGCAATGGGGAAAACACTCCCTATTTAATACATGGTGCTGGAAGAACTGGCTAGCCATATGCAGAAGATTGAAACTGAACCCTTCCCTTATGCCACACACAAAAATCAACTCAAGATGGATTAAAGACTTAATTGTAAAACCCAAAACTGTAAAATCCCTAGAAGACAACCTAGGCAATACCATCCTGGACATAGGACCGAGCAACGATTTCATGAAAAAGACGCTAATTCAGTTTAAGGGCTTCTGCACAGCAAAAGAAACCATCAACATAGTAATCAGGCAACCTACAGAATGGGAGAAGATATTTGCAAACTGTGTACCTGGCAAAGGTCTAATATCCAGCATCTATAAGAAACTTAAACAAATTTACAAGAGAAAAACAAACAACCTCATTAAAAAGTGGGCAAAGGACATGAACAGACACTTTTCAAATGAAGACATACATGTGGCCAACAAGCATTAAAAAAAAAACAAAAGCTCAATATCACTGATCATTAGAGAAATGTAAATTGGAACCACAATGAGATGCCATCTCACACCAGTCAGAATGGCTATGATTAAAAAGTAAAAAAAAAAAAAAACAGATGCTAGTTAGATTTTAGAGAAAAGGGAACACTTATATACCATTGGTGGGAGTACAAATTAGTTCATCCATTATGGAAAGCAGTATGGTGATTCCTTAAAGAGCTGAAAGCAGAACTGCCATTTGACTCCACAATCCTGTTACTAGTTGTATACCCAGAAAAATTCTACCATTAAAACACATGCACACAAATGTTCATTTCAGCACTATTTGCATTAGCAAGGACATAGAATCAACCTAAATACCCATCAATAACAGATTGGATAAAGAAAGTGTGCTACATATACACCATGGAATACTATGCAGCCATAAAAAAAGTATGAGATCGGCTGGGCTTGGTGGCTCACACCTGTAATTCCAGCACTTTGGGAGGCTGAGGCAGGTGGATCACGAGACTATGAGTTTGAGACCAGCCTGGCCAAGATGGTGAAACCCCGTCTCTACCAAAAATCCCAAAAAAAAAAAAAAAAAAAAAAAATTAGCCTGGTGCAGTGGCGGGCGCCTATAACACCAGCTACTCGGGAGGCTGAGGCAGGAGAATTGCTTGAACCCAGGAGGGGGAGGTTGCAGTGAGCTGAGATTGCACCACTGCACTCTAGCCTGGGTGACAGAGTAAGACTCTGTCTCAAAACAAAACAAAACAAACAAACAAAGTATGAGATCATGTCCTTTGTGGGAACATGAATGAAGCTGGAGGCTATTATCCTTAGCATACTAACACAGGAACAGAAAAGGGTCCATGTTCTCATTTATAAGTTGAAGCTACATGATGAGAACTTGTGAATGCAAAGAAGGAAACAACAGACATTGGGGTCTACTTGAGGATGGAGGACGGAAGGAAGGAGAGGAGCAGAAAATATAACTATTGGGTACTGGGCTTAATAACTAGGTGATTAAATAATCTGTACAAAAGATTCCCATGCCACAAGTTTACCTGTGCATCAAACCTTCACACGTACCCCTGAACCTAAAAGATTTTTTTTTAATTATGTCTTCTACTAAAACAAAAAAAAATTTAAACACCTTCTTTTGATCCCACTTACCGCTCTTGGTAGTTCCCATTTTGAACCATTTTGTAAAAATTACCTTCAAAATTGTTGCCATTAGGCCGGGCGTGGTGGCTCACACCTGTAATCCCAGCACTTTGGGAGGCCGAGGTGGGAGGATCATGAGGTTGGGAGATCAAGACCATCCTGGCTAACACAGTGAAACCCCATCTCTACTAAAAATACAAAAAATTAGCCAGTGGTGGGCACCAATGTGTAATTTAAAATACAGATAAATAGCTTTCTATACCCCAGTGCTGGTTCTGAGATTCAGGCATGAATGTGCTCTGGGATGTCAAATTAAATTTGTATCATTAGCATATTGGAATGTCATTGTATGTGCCTTTGACACAATTTGTTAACAACAGCAAGAATGTTTCTACTAATCACACTGATTTGTAGACTGGCAGTCCCCTGATAACAAACTTTCTTTGGTTCTTGGCAGTGATAGTCTTTTATACAGAATTGTGAGCTATACAGCATAACTGTTTTATCCAATAAATTTATAGAAAACTTGAGGAAAAAATAATGGGGCAAAGAAAAAAAACCTTTAAATGTCTTTAAATAGCATCAACCAAAGTATAGATTATAGATGATGTTTCATCAGCTCCACTGTAATTATAACCTCGATTATCTGAGCGATGTTTCCCAGTCACAGCATATTTCAAGTTAAATTTTGTGGTTTTGAAATTTGCAGTTAAAAGGGAATGTTTTTGACAAATTGGCCCTTCAATTGACTTGGCATCTGTTTTAGGTCATTGGCAACTATGTCTGCCTGTCATGTTTTTTTCCCCCTTGCATTTTATGCTAGTTTCCACCAAATCCCTCCCTTTGTATATCTAAGCAAATGAAACCATGTGACATTTTTATTGTACAGAGAGAGAGGTTTTGTTCATAGCTTCCTGTGATCTGTTTCTTACTCTGAAAACAATACAATATGTAGGTTTTCTAGATTTTAGATATTTTCTTCTTAATATGCACATGGACTAAAGGATGGAGATGATGTGTTTAATAAAAGACTAACCTACTGCCCCACTTCTCTGCCCATTCCAAGGCCTTCTCAATAATCTTCTTTGTTAAACACTAATTTATTATCTCTACTTACCCCCTATAGGGAGGAGATTGAATTTAAATCTGCAGCTTTCACAGATTTATACAGAGGGGAAAGAACTACCCACACCACTAACCACATACACACATAAAGAGTGGTCCTATAGAGTGGTTTGAACTCTTTATATATTCTGGTTATTAATCCCTTGTTAGATGGATTGTTGGCAAATATTTCCTCCCATTCTGTAGGTCTTCACTGTGTTGATTGTTTCCTTTGCTGTGTAGAAGCTTTTCAACATGATATGATCAATTTGTCCATTTTTGCTTTGGTTGCCTGTGCTTGTGTCGTATTACTGAAGAAATTTTGCCCAGATCAACATCCTGGAGATTTTTCCCTGTGTATCCTTGCAATAGTTTCATAGTTTAAGGTCTTATATTTAAGTATTTAATTCATTTGAATTTGATTTTTGTATATGGCAAGCTGTAGGAGTCTATTAAAGACATGTTTAAAACCATTAAAATTTAAAGGGATTTGTTAGGAATCAGTAGATAAGTAGAAACCCTGTGTGTTTTTCTTTAACCTCACTGCTTGGCTTCTTCAATTCTGACTGGATGAAATGCTTCAGCTTGAATTCTACATTATTTGCTCATCTCTAATATGTTCTACCTAAAAAAACCAAAGCCAGTTCAGAACTTTAGATGTCTTTATAGAGATAACTTGACTCCCCAAAAGTTATATTCTGCCCTAACCTCTTAAATGAGTTCCAGATTTATGCAGTCAGTTGCTTTTGGATATTGCTATTTGAACACCTAAAATTTACCTTCAATCAAGTATTTCTCCTCATTCTTTTTTATTCAGTAAGTGATACTGCCATCAAACCAGTTGCAAATAATTGCTAAATCTGGAAATAATTCTTAATCCTGTCTTTTCCCTCAACACCATTTTTATCCAATGCATCAATAAATCCCCTCGACTCTGCCTTCCGATGTCTCCCAAGCCCTGCCATTTTCCTTCATCACTACTTCTACCAACCTCTATTGCTTTTATCTGCAGTGTTAGCATTGTCACATTTGCTCTGCCGCAGAATCTACAGTCTATTCTCCTCAAAGCAATGATTGTGCTCTTGAACAACAACAACAAAAAGTAAATATGTTATGCACTCCTGTTAAAAATATTCCCTTGTTTGCAATTGTAATTAATATAAAATTATATATGTAGAAGCCTTCCTAAATTACTAAATTTGAAGTAGCCATCTTTCAATTCCTCTCTTGTGCAATTCCCTTTTTCATTTTTCTCATAGCAATGACCACATTCTAAAATTACATGCTTTATTTATTATCTTCTTATTTATTGCTGTCTTCCTATTTCCATGGACCTTGTTTTTCCTGTTCTCTGCTATATTCCAGTACACAGAACAATGGCATTTCATATAGGCTTAATAAATTTTGATGTATAGATGAATTAATAAGTTTACATTTTTCAAAAGATAAATTGACCCTGATGTGTCAGAGAATGATTTAGGGTTTTAGATATTAAAAAGAGTTACTACATGTCCAGTTTTACCTTTGTATTTCATAAGTGGTAGTATGATAGACCAAAAATGCCAGATCTGTATTTACACAATTTGGTAGTGGCAATCATTAGATTTTAAATCACTCTAAATAGTAGTCTAAATAGTACTCCAGACAATATTATTTTTATTGTTTTTACATTTCTGACATTCAAGCTTGCATTTATGTGTCTCTGTGTGAATGTGTGGATGAGTACATTGATTCAGTTTGACTTTGCAACTGGGCTTTTAATATTAGAACCACAGTACTACAAATTTGTCTTGTCACTAGCCTGGTTAAGTGTCATAAACTACTGGCTGAATAAAATATACTGTCTCCTTTTTGGAGTAACTATGCAGATTCATGTTATAACAATCATCTATGACAGGCTGATTTTCTTAGTCTCCTTTCATAATTTTATACATTTTTATAATATGTTGAATGGTTCTGTCACTTCATTTCTTTGGGAGATTATAGTCACTGCAGTGCTTAAGACTCGAAGGACTAATGACTAATGGAATCATAGAATCTTTCCCCAGTGAAAATAGAATTGAGCTCTAAAATGTCACTAGTACATAAAAAACACACCATCCTAGACTGACCAGCAGGGTTCTAGGCTCAAATTTAGCTGTTGAGTATAGAAAGAAGTCATTATTGGCATATTTAAGTGATTTAAGAAGGACGATCTGTGATTATAAAATAACCAGTTATCTGTAGATTCAGAAAATGTCAGAGCTTTCTGAAAATTAAAGAGGGAATTTAAAAACCACTTAAGCTTAGTAATTTTTGGCACAAATAATTGATAGCTTTAGGTTGAAAATTCTGGCAAAAGCAAGTAACAAAAAAGGATTTTCCTAGAAAGCAGATAAACACTTGAATGAAAACAATAATAAAAAACTCAAAGCAACAGTCTTAAGAACAGTTAATTATATATGTATATATATAATATATTTGTGATTATATAGATATGCTGTTGAACTTTCAAGTGACTAATTGTATATTTCAACAGGTAATTTTACATTATGTTAAATATTTTTTGAAATAAGTTCATCATTTCTACCATTTTAATAATCCAATGAAATGTATAACTGTCTTTTCCTCATAGTGACAAGGAGAGTAATTTATGGCAGGAGCTTCCTTGTTCTTGGGACTAAATCAAACTTGAAGATCCAAAGAAATTATTGATATTGCCCAGAGCAGAGAGTTAATAAGACTTTCTTAACAATAAGTCCGAAACCATTCTGAACAAAATACATGTGAAATGTCAATGAGATTAATTTTGCCAGGAGTTTTCTTTCCTCTTCTTTGACCAACCAATAAGAATGTTTCTACATGAGATAATGCTTTTCACTCATGCTTCATTGGATGAATGAATAACCATCCTGCACCTGACTGCAGAGTCCTGGTATGGAATTCTCTCAACCAGCTGCTAGAGTGTTCTCCCTGTAGCCAATGCAGTCAATTGAATTATACTTTTTAAATACTCAATTATATTTTCCACCTTGCCTCTTCACTCTTAAATACTTCAACACCAAAGACAAATGCCTTTTCTTGTTTAGCAGGAGTATTGCACAATGAAATGTTTACTGACATTTCCATGTCTCCTTGTCTTTTGCACTACAGATTAGAGCACTAAGGGATCCCTGGGTCTGTCACTTAAAATATTTTAGTGTACCTTTATTTAATTTATAGTTTATTTTGGTAGGTTTTCTTGTATTGTCTCTTGAAGTAATTTATAGGTTTACTTTTTTTTAACATGAGGCTTTAATTCAAAGAGACCAACTCCTCATATGCTTGTTAACGAAAGTCACAGCAAACTTATAAATCCAGCTACCCTAATCATTGTATTTTTCACAAAAACATAATATATGCCTATAGTTTGTTAAAATTATGTGCTACACTCAATTTATAATTCAAGGAGAAAAACTGGCTTTGGATTCATAAATATTAAATGAGATTGTGTATTCATTACACTTCCTAGTTACATTACAAGAAAAAACATTGATCTGGACATCAACAGGTCATGGGAATAAAAACAAAGTTGCACATTTTGCAGCCAATTACAGGTCCTTTTTTTAAATTGAAGATCTTACATAGATAGTTTTTAATAGATACTGTTTTTTGGAAGCGTTTTCAATATTATTCTCCATGATTGAAAAAACAATCTCACTTAAAAAGCTACAAAATTAATAAATATATTTTCTTCTTTTTTCATTTTCAGTATTTTTATTTATTTTTTTGAGATGGAGTCTCACTCTGTCACACAGGCTGGAGTGCATTGGCGCTATCTTTTTTTTTATTATACTTTAAGTTTTAGGGTACATGTGCACAATGTGCAGGTTTGTTACATATGTATACATGTGCCATGTTGGTGTGCTGCACCCATTAACTCGTCATTTAGCATTAGGTATCTCTCCTAATGCTATCCCTCCCCCCTCCCCCCCACCCCACAACAGGCCTCAGTGTGTGATGTTCCCCTTCCTGTGTCCATGTGTTCTCATTGTTCAGTTCCCACCTACGAGTGAGAACATGCGGTGTTTGGTTTTTTGTCCTTGCGATAGTTTGCTGAGAATGATGGTTTCCAGCTTCATCCATGTCCCTACAAAGGACATGAACTCATCCTCTTTTATGGCTGCATAGTATTCCATGGTGTATATGTGCCACATTTTCTTAATCCAGTCTATCATTGTTGGACATTTGGGTTGGTTCCAAGTCTTTGCTATTGTGAGTAGTGCCGCAATAAACATACGTGTGCATGTGTCTTTATAGCAGCATGATTTATAATCCTTTGGATATATACCCAGTAATGGGATAGCTGGGTCAAATGGAATTTCTAGTTCTAGATCCCCAAGGAATCACCACACTGACTTCCACATGGTTGAACTAGTTTACAGTCCCACCAACAGGGTAAAAGTGTTCCTGTTTCTCCACATCCTCTCCAGCACCTGTTGTTTCCTGACTTTTTAATGATCGCCATTCTAACTGGTGTGAGGTGGTATCTCATTGTGGTTTTGATATGCATTTCTCTGACGGCCAGTGATGATGAGCATTTTTTCATGTGTTTTTTGGCTGCATAAATGTCTTCTTTTGAGAAGTGTCTGTTCATATTCTTCACCCACTTTTTGATGGGGTTGTTTGTTTTTTTCTTGTAAATTTGTTTGAGTTCATTGTAGATTCTGGATATTAGCCCTTTGTCAGATAAGTAGGTTGCAAAAATTTTCTCCCATTCTGTACATTGCCTGATCACTCTGATGGTAGTTTCTTTTGCTGTGCAGAAGCTCTTTAGTTTAATTAGATCCCATTTGTCAAATTTGGCTTTTGTTGCCATTGCTTTTGGTCTTTTAGATACGAAGTCCTTGCCCGTGCCTATGTCCTGAATGGTATTGCCTAGGTTTTCTTCTAGGGTTTTTATGGTATTAGGTCTAACATGTAAGTCTTTAATCCATCTTGAATTAAGTTTTGTATAAGGTGTAAGGAAGGGATCCAGTTTCAGCTTTCTACATATGGCTAGCCAGTTTTCCTAGCACCATTTATTAAATAGGGAATCCTTTCCCCATTGCTTGTTTTTGTCAGGTTTGTCAAAGATCAGATAGTTGTAGATATGTGGCATTATTTCTGAGGGCTTTGTTCTGTTCCATTGGTCTATATCTTTATTTTGGTACCACTACCATGCTGTTTTGGTTACTGTAGCCTTGTAGTATAGTTTGAAGTCAGGTAGCGTGATGCCTCCAGCTTTGTTCTTTTGGCTTAGGATTGACTCGGCGATGAGGCTCCTTTTTGGTTCCATATGAACTTTAAAGTAGTTTTTTCCAATTCTGTGAAGAAAGTCATTGGTAGCTTGATGGGGATGGCATTGAATCTATAAATTACCTTGGGCAGGATGGCCATTTTCACGATATTGATTCTTCCTACCCATGAGCATGGAATGTTCTTCCATTTGTTTGTATCATCTTTTATTTCATTGAGCAGTGGTTTGTAGTTCTCCTTGAAGAGGTCCTTCACATCCCTTGTAAGTTGGATTCCTAGGTATTTTATTCTCTTTGATGCAATTGTGAATGGAAGTTCACTCATGATTTGGCTCTCTGTTAGTCTGTTATTGGTGTATAAGAATGCTTGTGATTTTGGTACATTCATTTTGTATCCTGAGACTTTGCTGAAGTTGCTTATCAGCTTAAGGAGATTTTGGGCTGAGACAATGGTGTTTTCTGGATATACAATCATGTCATCTGCAAACAGGGACAATTTGACTTCCTCTTTTCCTAATTGAATACCCTTTATTTCCTTCTCCTGCCTGATTGCCCTGGCCAGAACTTCCAACACTATGTTGAATAGGAGTGGTGAGAGAGGGCATCCCTGTCTTGTGCCAGTTTTCAAAGGGAATGCTTCCAGTTTTTGTCCATTCAGTATGATATTGGCTGTGGGTTTGTCATAGATAGCTCTTATTATTTTGAGATACGTCCCATCAATACCTAATTTATTGCGAGTTTTTAGCGTGAAGGGTTGTTGGATTTTGTCAAAGGCGTTTTGTGCATCTATTGAGATAATCATGTGGTTTTTGTCTTTGGTTCTGTTTATATGCTGGATTACATTTATTGATTTGTGTATGTTGAACCAGCCTTGCATCCCAGAGATGAAGCCCACTTGATGATGGTGGATAAGCTTTTTGATTTGCTGCTGGATTCGGTTTGCCAGTATTTTATTGAGGATTTTTGCATCAATGTTCATCAAGAATATTGGTCTAAAATTCTCTTTTTTTGTTGTGTCTCTGCCAGGCTTTGGTATCAGGGTGATGCTGTCCTCATAAAATGAGTTAGGGAGGATTCCCTCTTTTTCTATTGATTGGAATAGTTTCAGAAGGAATGGTACCAGCAACTCCTTGTACCTCTGGTAGAATTCGGCTGTGAATCCATCTGGTCCTGGACTTTTTTTGGTTGGTAAGCTATCAATTATTGCCTCAATTTCAGAGCCTGTTATTGGTCTATTCAGAGATTCAACTTCTTCCTGGTTTAGTCTTGGGAGGGTGTATGTGTCGAGGAATTTATCCATTTCTTCTAGATTTTGTAGTTTATTTGCATAGAGGTGTTTATAGTATTCTCTGATGGTAGTTTGTATTTCTGTGGGATCGGTGGTGATATCCCCTTTGTCATTTTTTATTGCGTCTATTTGATTCTTCTCTCTTTTCTTCTTTATTAGTCTTGCTAGCGGTCTATCAATTTTGTTGATCTTTTCAAAAAACCAGCTCCTGGATTCATTGATTTTTTGAAGGGTTTTTTGTGTCTCTGTTTCCTTGAGTTCTGCTCTGATCTTAGTTATTTCTTGCCTTCTGCTAGCTTTTGAATGTGTTTGCTCTTGCTTCTCTAGTTCTTTTAATTGTGATGTTAGGGTGTCAATTTTAGATCTTTCCTGCTTTCTCTTGTGGGCATTTAGTGCTATAAATTTCCCTCTACACACTGCTTTGAATGTGTCCCAGAGATTCCAGTATGTTGTGTCTTTGTTCTTGTTGGTTTCAAAGAACATCTTTGTTTCTACCTTCATTTTGTTATGTACCCAATAGTCACTCAGGAGCAGGTTGTTTAGTTTCCATGTAGTTGAGCGGTTTTGAGTGAGTTTCTTAATTCTGAGTTCTATTTTGATTGCACTGTGGTCTGAGAGACAATTTGTTATAATTTCTGTTCTTTTACATTTGCTGAGGAGTGCTTTACTCCCAACTATGTGGTCAGTTTTGGAATAGGTGTGGCGTGGTGCTGAAAGGAATGTATATTCTGTTGATTTGGGGTGGAGAGTTCTGTAGATGTCTATTAGGTCCGCTTGGTGCAGAGCTGAGTTCAGTTCCTGGATATCCTTGTTAACTTTCTGTCTCATTGATCTGTCTAATGTTGACAGTGGGGTGTTAAAGTCTCCCATTATTATTGTGTGGGAGTCTAGGTCTCCTTGTAGGTCTCCAAGGACTTGCTTTATGAATCTGGGTGTTCCTGTATTGGATGCATATATATTTAGGATAGTTAGCTCTTCCTTTTGAATTGATCCCTTTACCATTATGTAATGGCCTTCTTTGTCTCTTTTGATCTTTGTTTATTAAAAGTCTGTTTTATCAGAGACTAGGATTGCAATCCCTGCCTTTTTTTGTTTTCCATTTGCTTGGTAGATCTTCCTTCATCCCTTTATTTTGAGCCTATGTGTGTCTCTGCACATGAGATGGGTTTCCCGAATACCGCACACTGATGGGTCTTGACTCTTTATCCAATTTGCCAGTCTGTGTCTTTTAATTGGAACATTTAACCCATTTACATTTAAGGTTAATATTGTTATGTGTGAATTTGATCCTGTCATTATTATGTTAGCTGGTTATTTTCTCATTAGTTGATGCAGTTTCTTCCTAGCCTTGATGGTCTTTACAATTTGGCATGTTTTTGCAGTGGCTGGTACCGGTTTTTCCTTTCCATGTTTAGTGCTTCCTTCAGGAGCTCTTGTAAGGCAGGCCTGGTGGTGACAAAATCAGTATTTGCTTGTCTGTAAATAATTTTATTTCTCCTTCACTTATGAAGCTTAGTTTGGCTGGATATGAAATTCTGGGTTGCAAATTCTTTTCTTTAAGAATGTTGTTACTGTGTCTGTGTAGAAAGAAGTGGACATAGGAGACTCCATTTTTTTCTGTACTAAGAAAAATTATTCTGCCTTGGGATGCTGTTAATCTATAAGCTTACCCCCAACCCCGTGCTCTCTGAAACATGTGCTGTGTCAACTCAGGGTTAAATGGATTAAGGGCAGTGCAAGTTGTGCTTTGTTAAACAGATGCTTGAAGGCAGCATGCTTGTTAAGAGTCATCACCACTCCCTAATCTCAAGTACCCAGGGACACAAACACTGTGGAAGGCCGCAGGGACCTCTGCCTAGGAAAACCAGAGACCTTTGTTCACGTGTTTATCTGCTGACCTTCTCTCCACTATTATCCTATGACCCTGCCACATCCCCCTCTCTGAGAAACACCCAATAATGATCAATAAGTACTAAAAAAAATAAAATAAATTAAAAAATTAAAAATTAAAAAAAATTAAAAAAAAGAATGTTGAATATTGGCCCCCACTCTCTTCTGGCTTGCAGAGTTTCTGCTGAGAGATCCGCTGTTAGTCTGATGGGCTTCCCTTTGTGGGTAACCCGACCTTTCTCTCTGGCTGCCCTTAACATTTTTTCCTTCATTTCAACTTTGGTGAATCTGACAATTATGTGTCTTGGAGTTGCTCTTCTCGAGGAGTATCTTTGTGGCATTCTCTGTATTTCCTGAATCTGAATGTTGGCCTACCTTGCTAGATTGGGGAAGTTCTCCTGGATAATATCCTGCAGAGTGTTTTCCAACTTGGTTCCATTCTCCTCATCGCTTTCAGGTACACCAATCAGACGTAGATTTGGTCTTTTCACATAGTCCCATATTTCTTGGAGGCTTTGTTCGTTTCTTTTTATTATTTTTTCTCTAAACTTCTCTTCAACGCCTCATTTCATTCATTTCATCTTCCATTGATGATACCCTTTCTTCCAGTTGATCGCATCGGCTATTGAGGCTTGTGCATTCATCACGTAGTTGTTGTGCCTTGGTTTTCAGCTGCTTCAGGTCCTTTAAGGACTTCTCTGCATTGGTTATTCTAGTTATCCATTCGTCTAATTTTTTTTTCAGGGTTTTTAACTTCTTTGCCATTGGTTCGAACTTCCTCCTTTAGCTTGAAGTAGTTTGTTCTTGTGAAGTCTTCTTTTCTCAACTCATCAAAGTCATTCTCCGTCCAGCTTTGTTCCATTGCTGGTGAGGAGCTGCATTCGTTTGGAGGAGGAAAGGTGCTCTGATTTTTAGAGTTTCTGATTTTTCTGCTCTGTTTTTTCCCCATCTTTGTGGTTTTATCTACCTTTGGTCTTTGATGATGATGACATACAGATGGGTTTTTGGTGTGGATGTCCTTTCTGTTTGTTAGTTTTCCTTCTAACAGTCAGGAAGGACCCTCAGCTGCAGGTTTGTTGGAGTTTGCTGGAGGTCCACTCCAGACCCTGTTTGCCTGGGTGTCAGCAGCGGTGGCTGCAGAACAGCGGATATTGGTGAACCGCAAATGCTGCTGCCTGATCGTTCCTCTGGAAGTTTTGTCTCAGAGGAGTACCCGGCCGTGTGAAGTGTCAGTCTGCCCCTACTGGGGGATGTCTCCCAGTTGGGCTACTCGGGGGTCAGGGACCCACTTGAGGAGGCAGTCTTCCCATTCTCAGATCTCAAGCTGCGAGCTGGGAGAACCACTACTCTCTTCAAAGCTGTCAGACAGGGACATTTAAGTCTGCAGAGGTTACTGCTGCCTTTTGTTTGTCTGTGCCCTGCCCCCAGAGGTGGAGCCTACAGAGGCAGACAGGCCTCCTTGAGCTGTGGTGGGCTCCACCCAGTTCGAGCTTCCTAGCCGCTTTTTTTTACCTACTCAAGTCTCGGCAATGGTGGGCGCACATCCCCCAGCCTCACTGCCGCCTTGCAGTTTGATCTCAGACTGCTGTGCTAGCAATGAGCGAGGCTCCATGGGCATAGGACCCTCCAAGCAAGGTGCGGGATATAATCTCCTGGTGTGCCATTTGTTAAGCCTGTTGGAAAAGTGCAGTATTAGGGTGGGAGTGACCCGATTTTCCAGGTGCTGTCTGTCACCCCTTTCTTTGACTAGGAAAGGGAATTCCCTGACCCCTTGCGCTTCCCAGGTGAGGCGATGCCTCGCCCTGCTTTGGCTCACACAGTACGCTGCACGCACTGTCCGGCACTCCCCAGTGAGATGAACCCGGTACCTCAGTTGGAAATGCAGAAATCACCCATATTCTGCGTCACTCACACTGGGAGCTGTAGACTGGAGCTGCTCATATTCAGCCATCTTGGCTCCACCAATAAATATGTTTTCTTACAAATTACGAAGAGACAGAATAGAAAGTGAGAAACAGAATTTAAGAATTTTTTTTAAAAACTTGAAAATTAACATAATTATATTTTTCATGTGTATTAGTTTGTTCTCAAGCTGCTAATAAAGACATGTTCAATACTGGGTAATTTATAAAGAAAAAGAGGTTTAATGGACTCACACTTCCACATGGCTGGAGAGACCTCACAATCATGGCAGAAGGCTAAGGAAGAGCAAAGGCATGTCTTACATGGCAGCAGGCAAGAGAGCATGTGCAGGGGAACTTCTCTTTATAAAACCATCAGATCTCATGAGACTTATTCACTATCATGAAAACAGCACGGGAAAAACTCACCCTCATGATTCAATGACCTACCACTACATCCCTCCCACAAGACATGGGGATTATGGGAGTTACAATTCAAGATGAGATTTGGATGGGGACACAGCCAAACCATATCACTATGTATTATATCATAAAAAAGGAAAGTATCATTTAGTTTCATATATACTTTTTATATTTCAGTAGTCCAGAGTCTAACAGATTAGAAAGCTACTCTATAGTTAAGAAATATGCATTTTGAGTGGCGTATTAAGGTATTTCAGCATATAAGTATTGTATATAACCTCTAAAAGCTTGAAAACATCACATTATTTTCCAGAACACCTTGTGAAAATTCTGGTAATAATTAATTTTCTTTTTAGGATATGGTTTGACATGCGTGAATTTTAGCTTAATCTTGAAGATATTACAAAATATTCTTAGAATGCAAATTCTATAATAGTTCAAATTATCAAACAATAATATTGCTGAATATGTTTTTACCAGAATTAAAAATTAAATATCTTAAAAGTTTGCTAACACAACTTAGCAAAGTTATTTTAAGACATATTCAATGGTAAATTACTTATGAACCAAACTAAAATTAAGTCCCAGATTGAAAATGATTTTGTTCTATCATCCAAATGAACATGTCGCTTATCCTCTGATTCTTAGTCTGAAAATTCAATTTCTTGCTTTCCAATGTCTTCTGAATAAATGATTTCGGTTACACCAATGTTGCTTTTACAGTATTTATTCTTTCACATCCTTGCAAGGTCATCAAAAACAAGAAAACTCTGAGAAATTGTCATAGCCAAGAAAAGCCTTAGGAATAAGAAAAATAAATGCAGTGCGATATCCTGGATGGGATACTGGAATAGAAAAGGGGATAGGTAAAAATGATGAAAAGCGGAAGAATAATAGTGTTTTGTAGGTTTCTCCATTGTAAAACCACTCTTTTCTCTCCCATTTCATAGTGTCTCCTTGGAAGAAAATCACTATGTGAAGCTAACACTTTAATGAATGAGGAGTTATGTTCTGCTTCCTTGAATAGCTACATAAATTATTTGGAATTATTCTCCAAGGGAAACACGTCTGTTCTCTCCGAAATTATTCAGTCATCTATTTGTATCAGTATGGACTCATGGATATATATTTTTGTTATATTCTGACACTACTTCATTTTGTTACTCAAATAGTTCCAGCTTTGGCTATTGGGAACCCCTTCAGAATTTCGTTTGTTTGGTTAGTTGGTAGTTGGCTCTGTATTATTGTTGTTGTTATTTTGTTTTTCCCCATTTCCTTATTTTCTGGCATTCTGCAGGCTCTTCTGGAATTTTTCATGCCTAATTCCTGGAATCAGCCATTTCTCCAAAGAACTCTGTTTTCTTTCTGTGGAGAATGGTATTAGAAACCAACATCTGGGAGTTAGGTGTGTTTATTGCAACTGGGGTGTAGTTTTCTAAGATAAGGCTGTTTTTTAAAACAGTATAGTACTTCTCCATATTTGTTTCTTAATTATTCAATTTGAGTTTTCAGTAAAAATTCTAACATTCTTACATTTTTTTCAAACCAATTTAAAAAGGCTAATTTAGAAGAAGTTTGCAAATAACACCCAAACATTGTCAAGTAATACAAACATTGCCATTATTTTATGATCAGACTTCCCTTCTATCCAAAATATCAGTTTTATCAAGCTTGATGGTTAAATATCTAATCAAATCAAGAATAAAAACGTTTCACTCTAATTGCCGTTCAAAGTAATGTATCATAACTCTGAAAATTTATTTCTAAAAATAGTTTAGAAAAGAAAAGATTTTTAAAAGATTTTAATTTTACCTGATTCTTAGTTGATTAGTTTGAAGGAGGCCACCATGTACATGTTTAGAAAATTGTCTGATGTCAACAAATAGGTTGGAGTTAGGTCATGCTTCCAAAAAGTGTTCAGAAATTTCCTTTCCTTACCCAGACTGATGAAACCAGTCTAGGGTGAGGGATACTGCATAACTGTAGGCTGCTCAAAGCAAGATCAGTGGAGCAGTCCAGCTGGAAAATACTGAGGATTGTCAATCATGTCTGGGGAAGGTAACAGTCTGGTGAAGTGGTGGATAGGATGTTGAAACTGCAGATCATTAAGGGGTGCTGACCAGCTCACCTTTCAAGTGTTATGAAGCCGACTTTGGAGTTGAACGTGGTACCCTATGATCAAGTGGTCCAAATAGGAAGAGTTTGTAATTCAGCATGAGAGAGATTTGATATAGCTTGGAAACTAGGGCAGGAAAACAAAGGAACAGTCAAGATTTTACGTCATATACCCAAGGGATTTGTGGAACGCCTTGAGAAAATGCCTAGCCAAGGATACAGACAGCACTCAATATTTCTCCCTAAGAGTTTAATTTGCAAACATAACATCCTTTAAAAGGCTAACATTTACACTTCATGGTCTTCTGAGTGATGGCTTTACAGTTGGGATGAAGATGGTGACATGTATACCTACTTTTTATGGGCCTATGCTATAGAGCTAAGAAGCCTTCCAGAACCTTCAGAAGTGTGCTGCTTTCATCTCCATCTTCTCACAGCCTGTGGTCAAAAGCAAATTGCAACCCCTATGTCTGACCTTACATAGGATTATTTACTCCTTGAGTGAAGGAATGTTTTCTTGTTCATCTTTGTGCCTCACATATCGATCCCTACACCTGGTCTAACAGGAGCTATTCACCAAGTATTGAACTAAATGGAATACGTTGTATGCCTATCCTTGAAATTTATTACTATATACATTTTTCTCACTGAATAATTCTGTGTCATTATGTAAAATAGACATGTAGCAAGGGTCAATTGGAGAGACTACCTTTCAAGGGCTATGATGTTAGTGGATAAAATGTTCCTTCCAACTATGATTTTATAAAATACAAAAAAAAAGTGCTAAACATATAGTAAAGTTTACCCTGAATGACCCAGTTTTACTGTTGAGTGAGTGAATTCATTAGGTAATTGCTAAGGGTACCCACTTTCCTATATTTTGCTTTAGTATTAAAACCTAGGTTTTTGAGCAGACATAGATTAGGGTTATTTTTCTGAGGTAAACCAAACACTGCATTCTGAATCCCATTCCAATTTACCCTTGTTGTTTCAACTCTGTCCCTAGATTCTGTGAACAGGAGCCTGAGTGAGATGAAAGATAATTATTCTAATAAGACCAATTTGTTCAATAACTTATTTAATAAAGATCCTTGAGAAGATAACTGATTGGGTTGGTACTCTACATGGAAATTTATAATCTATTTATAAAAATCCTTGAGAAACATAACTGACTGGGCTGGGAATCAATGTGGAAATAGGTCCAGGTTTGTCTCAGTTGGAATTCGTAGTAAAATGCAGTGTTAATTTTTTTAAACCCTGAAGGAACAAATTTTGTGTAGTGATAACTCAATCAGAAGCAAGACAAAAAAAGACAGGTTTTTACTGATTTTTCCATTATGTTAGAAATTCTTTGCACAGCTTCAGCTTTACTTTCAAAGCCTTATTTTTGAGTAACTGTGACAGTGTGTGAGAAGAAAATAAGAAGACAGATGGAAACCCAAATGAAGTCTTATAAATGCCTTTATGCACCCCTCATCCCAATGCCTTTAATTAAGCTTATATAGACACTTGAGATGTTAAACCCAGGGAAAGTTTCTTTTTGTTTGTTTGCCTAAAAGCTTTATCTTCATTTTTGTAATGACATATATCATGCAGGCTAATTGGTTGCAGTGCTTTGCCGTTTATAAACAGCTTGCACTATTTGGACTGAAAATCTGTAACCTGAAAAGTAGCACAGATTTATCCATGTGAAGGAACTGGAAGATTAAACTTTTCAAATTAAAAAACAAATATTTATCAATAACTAATATGAAAAAGGTTATCTTTGAATGGCAGTAAACCAGAATGGTTTCTAAAGCCCATGAGTACATAATATTTAGTAAAGAAAAATAAAAAAGGATCAACATTAGAAAACATTTCATGATCACAAAGTCCAATTTATCCAATCCATTGGGTGGGGTGCAGGGAGGGCCTCTGGGGGTGGGATCTGATGTGAATTTTAAAAAATGTGTTAATAGTCAATTAGAAAATATAATGGAAAAATAACTGCATGTGTATTATCAACCCAAAATACAAAACACCAAAAATTGAACCAAAACTCTGTAGGATATATATGAATAAACTCTAGAATTTATTGAAATTTAAAATATGTGAACTAAAAAGTGAGCTATATCATATTTTTAGTTGGGAATGCTAAATACTTTAGTAGTGACCACTGGTTAGCATTTAAAAATAGTTTTTATATAATTCAAAGTAAAAATCCTAACACAATTCCTCTTAGGAGATTGTAAAGTTTTTTAAACTTTAATGAAAATTAAAAATGGGCAAGTTTAGTTAACATAGTTTTGTTTCTTTTAAAAGAAGAATTATAAGGTGTGAATAGATATTGAAGTATGTAATGATGCTAGGTAATTAAATAGATAGAGAATGAATGGAAGAATATATAAGTCCATGCAAATAAAGAGGTATCCCACATACAGATGCTTACATTTAACATAATGTGATACATTATAAAACAGTCATTTTAAGTCAGTAGGAGAAGGAAAGATCAATCAATTGAAATACTGGTACAATTAGTTGAATATCAGAGGATTTTTTTTTTAATTTGGAATGTATCTCATCACATGTAATATAATAACTTTTACTGTGGCAAAATTGACAAGAAAGTAAAAAAAAAGGCCGGGCGCGGTGGCTCACGCCTGTAATCCCAGCACTTTGGGAGGCCGAGGCGGGTGGATCATGAGGTCAGGAGATCGAGACCATCCTGGCTAACAAGGTGAAACCCCGTCTCTACTAAAAATACAAAAAATTAGCCGGGCGCGGTGGCGGGCGCCTGTAGTCCCAGCTACTCGGGAGGCTGAGGCAGGAGAATGGCGTGAACCCGGGAAGCGGAGCTTGCAGTGAGCCGAGATTGCGCCACTGCAGTCCGCAGTCCGGCCTGGGCGACAGAGCGAGACTCCGTCTGAAAAAAAAAAAAAAAAAAGAAAGTAAAAAAAAAGAAATCATCAGATAAATATAAGGTAGAAAACATATTTCTAAACACCAATATGTAACTCAGAAACTATCATGAAGAGACATTAATGGATAAAAGAATATATAAATTTAATGGTCAAAAATCAAATAACAAATACTAATTTATCTAAATGTTAAAATATTAATAATTAATGTACCAACAGAAAGTCATTAAAAATGTGATTATGCCTTTATTGGAATGAAAGCTCCAGGAAGGTAGAAATGGTTGTTTTATTCACTGCAGTAGATACTCAATAACTATCATTAAAATTTGCAAGTTGGAAGAAATACAAATGGCCAATAAATGCATGGAAAAGAAGTACTCAGCCTCAGTAATATTTGAATAAATGAAAATTAAGTGAAATGCCCAGTTTAGAGTATCCAAGTGACAAATATAAAAAAGCCAAATCATAGATATATAATAATTATAAAATGTAATGACCATTACCGACAAACTTTGGAAACACACGCACACACACACACACAAGCCTTATAAATGAACACACCAATTGATAGATAATTCTCCAACTAGAAATTTATGCAGATAAAACTTTTACCAAAATGTTCTTTTTGGCCCACTGGTTGGCCTTTAATTGACATCTCATCTTAACAGCATCCTCTTTCTTCAATTGTGTTCATTTGAATTATTTTATGAACATGCAACTTATCTTTTGCAGTGATAATTTGCAATTAAAAAACATTTATGGATGAGAGCTTTAGTTTTTAAAAATTAATAAAATAAGATTTTCATGCTTCAACGTGAAAATGTTTTAATAAAGAAAAGTGCCATTTCAATTATCATATCTAATGAAAATAAGAACTTAGGTGATATAAAATGTCAGTGGTGCCAACTGACCTTCTAGTGTCCCACACAAATGATGATATGTAGTAGTTTTTAAATAGAAAAGTAGTGAAAAAAATTGTCATCAAAAGGCAAACAATATAGGCAAGAACACACAAATATTATTTACCAGCAAGTAGAAATGCATTGCTTGAGTCGTTTTGTTATATATGAGAAGACTCAGTTAATGTAAATAGAAGTCTTTTTCTAAAGTTGAATTTGGAGATGATTTTCCAGTAATAATTCTCAGTTCTAAAATATGAAAAAAAAAGGCCTGAGGACTAAGTTTAAGAGACTCATCTGAAAAATAGAAAAATGGATATTATTCCAATTAATTTAAAAAGTTATCACAGATCAATTATTTTGGCTGTCTTATTCAAAATTACCAAATATTTTAAAGTGTGAGACCATATATTTGATACTGTTCAAAGCCATTGTATCGTGTACATTATATAAAAATTATTTGTTCTTTTTATAACAGAAGCATGACCAGTTATTTAGGTTGTAGCTTTGTAAGTCTGAATATATAGAAAATGATAAGATCATATTTTAAGCAATATTATTGAGGTATAATTCATATATAAATAAATTTACATATTTTAGTATTCAATATGTTTTAAAATGTGTGTATCCATGCATATGCTTCTATACTCCTATTATCTATCTATCATGTATCTATCTATCTATAGTGAGGTTTTTTTAATGCAGTTTAATGAGTTTAAAGGACTATAGCCTCATGTAATCATCACAATGTCATGATAAAAATTCCAAAAGTTCCAAAACGTGAAAAAATTCTCTATTGTAGTACCTTTGTAGTCAAACCGTCTCTTTTTGATCCAATGTCATGGCTAAGCCACTCTATCAATTTGCACTTCATCTTATTTTATTTTTAATAGCCATAGACACAGGTCCCAGCCTTAAAAGGTTAAATTTACAAATCCTATTTCTCCATTTATGAAACTATTCTTTCTAAAAGAGACAAATGTCAGCTTTTAAAATTTATTATACTTGCATAACAAAATTGCATGGTATCCAGCAGACAAGTAATTCTATTATTGAACATAAGAAGCGAATACTTTTGGAAAATAGTTCTGTACTTGAAAACATATGGTCCACAATCTGTAGAGTTACATTTTGGAAACCATGATCCTAGATAAAAAGATAAATAATCAGATATTGAACTTTAGTCAGTATTTTCCAAGGGCTTCAAAGAGCTTCACCAAGAGAAATTATTTATCTTTACAAAAGGTAAGATAAAGATGCCAATGCATTCTAAAAATCACTGGACACATTAGTACTAAATCACACAGATCCATTTGAAACAACCCATTCAAATGTATCTGTTAGCAGAATTAAATTTATCTGAATTAAACTGGACTTTCAGTATTTTACTTTTTGTTTGTTTGTTTCTGGGCAGAAGGAAAACATATCACATGAGTTCCACATCAACATGCTGTCTTAAACCTGAAGGAGTATATGATATAGTGCTGGTTCCCCTTCACTGACAAGATGTGTCTCTGGCTTAGTGATTTGAAATGGACCAGGAAACAACTGTGCAGTGTCTGTTTTGCATTTCAGTTCATTACAGACACTACAAAACATGAGTATAACAGCTCTTTGAATCTGATTGCTTCCTCCATTTGCATGAGCTGTCCTATAAGTTCTTGCATTAAACAATTTTCGTTTGGACTTATTAAATGATAAAATGCATGCTTATAACAGACATATGTGCCCTGAACTCAAGTTTAGCTCATATTAAAAATGACGGGATGTTGAAATTATTTTTCTTATTTTAATAGCTCGTTTATTTTCCCTTTGCCATCGTGCCCTTATAGTCTCCAATAAGTAGATTGCCATATTAAGCCAGGTCTAAATATCTCATGTGATGGATCCTACCTTCATCTTACTTTGTTAAAGATGCTTCTGTGATTCACAGATTTTTAGCAAGTGATAGGGAATGGCTGGCAATGCCTCCTCCTTCTCAGAGTACACACTTCACATGCTGTCTGTTTCCTTCTGCCGAATCTTCCTTATAGTCATCAGAGTACTAAAGAGACCTTCAACATTGACTGATTTCTGGTTGAAAGATACAATAAAGACACAGAATTCTGGGTTTTCTTATACATCTTATAGCATAGATGCTGAAAATGTTTTTTTCTAACTTCCAGACAGGTATTTTTTTACTTAGCTATTACGACCCTTGTATTATCCATGAAGATTTCTCCATTTGTCAACTACCAGTATGATGCACCGTATTTCAAGGAGGGTAAACCTTTAAGGTATATGGTAAATACAAGCATACTTACCTCGCCATTCAATCTACCTCAATATTCAATAGTTCTGAATAAAAAATATGCTTTAAAATTAGTAGTATTGTTATGATCGTAATGTTAATATGAGTGATTACTCGTAATGTTAATATGAGTGATTGCTGTTATTTTTTCAATGCAATTGTCTCTGGAAGTTAATTTCACTTTTCATTGGAGCTTGGCCCCCTGGAAATGATTAACTTGACAGAGATGGGAAGAGGACAAATTTTCAGGAAACATCTGGCAAATTGCAAAGAAATGCTAAACATTTTCTTCCCCATAGAATTTATTTTTATTATCTTATGTTTCTTCCCTATAAAATTTTCATCAATATACATGGATACACCCACACACACATGCACAAACACAAACACACACTGTCACACACACATGTGTGTATAATGTCCCCTGGTTTATATGGAACATATAAATGAGGGTTTTTTTTTTTTCAATTAGCTCCTGTTTCTCTTAAGTTCATTTGGCAACACCAAGCTGTCATTTTTGTGAGATTTTATTGTGTATATATACCTCCAAAGTCTTCATGGTAAGAGAGTGATTGCATCCAGTTGTTTATAATAGTTTTATTTTTCAAATTCTATTCAACTTTGTCCTGATTACATAATTAATGATATTTTGCAACACAGTTTATGTTTTATAGAAATCCCTTTGCAATTTTCATGTGTATGCGATCTAATTGGGAGCTCCCTGCAAAGATTTCTCCACCTATCTGAAAAGATCTATATGCTTAGTAGAATAGTGTTATGTTGGGAGACTGAAGGAGGTCATGGAGGTGTGTTACGCCTATGTGGTTTTTGGTCCATTCCTTCAACAGAAATCCTGTTTACATGTCACCAATGGTGCTGATAGAAACCATCCAAATGCATATTTTCAGTCTGTATATTGCTATATCATTTCCTCTTTGATGAAACTCTGTGGCTTCCTTGATGTGTCTTTTCCAGGTAGCTTTGCCAATATCTTTTCCTCTACCAGATCTTTTAATGTTTATATTGCTTTGTCTGTGTATTTTGGGTTTATTTTCTTGCCCTAAGATACCTCAGCCAATCCTTAATTTTTCAATTACTGCCTTCTTGCCAACCTACCTCAAATCTGTTCATCTGTTCTTTTATACATTCTCTTACTCCTGGGCTCCATACCTACAGATGAGAGAAAAAGTATTCTTAGATGTCAGGAAGAAATTTGCTGGAGTGAACAGCTGAGCTGAATATTCTTGGAAGCCTCTTATTAGTTGAGGGATAATGGTAGTTTGGATTAAGCAGTGAGCACGATGATTATACTAAATTTAGGCAAAAGAAAAACTTGAGCTCAATTCCTAGTTCACCAGTCACATTTTGAAAGATCTAACTTCTCGTAAGCTTGATTTTCTCCTTCAAAAATGAGATGAGTAACACTAAATAGTTGTTTTAAATGTGAAGTAATATATGTAAAGCACTTAGTACAATGCTTGGCCTGTAGTAAGTATTTATTATAAATAGTAACTTTTGTAATAAATAATTTCTTCATCATAAAATCTCTACAAATTCACCTAGAATAAGAAAATCCATTTATAGTGAAAGAGAGATGCTGTCCTGCCTAGGAAGATGAACAAAGGGTTCAGAAGACACAGAGAGCAACCTCTATTACCCTAGGATCCCTGAAACTCTTTTTAGGAGGGCTTTTAACAATGCAGAGGGAAGTAGGTGATGGAGACTATTCACACTGAATAAGGTGTTGTAATTGTGAGAGAAAAAGGAGCTGCATACATTTGGTGGAGTTGGGTCTAAGAGAGTTTGTCTGTTTTTTTTACAAAGTGAGAGATTAAGAGAAGGAAAGGATTCTGAATAGCTGCAGGGTATAAGAATAATGACAGGAGAGAAAGGGGGATTTTTAAAAATACCTTTGCATTTTGAATTAGTACCTTCTGGTGTTAAAAGGAGTAATAAAGACTAGACTATCTTAAAATTATTGGTGGCCATTGAACTATGACTTTTTACCCACAACACTATGGAGTGAACTGGGCCACAGGTCTTATTTGGGAATTACTATTATTATTATTATTATTATTACTATCCAAGTGCCTCTCTGACATTTCTACCTGGATATATCACAGAGTTCTCAAATCTAATATATGCAAAACTGAAGTAATGACCTGTGGCTGACTGCCACAATTACTACTTGAGACCGTCACTAGGACAGTTACTACTGTTACTACTTGAGACTGTCATTATGAGACTGAACGAAGGGGGACGAATGTAGAAATGAACACTTAAGACGAAAGAAACTGTTTTAAAGGAAGGGGCCAGGAGAAGAAAAAGAGAGCTCCCTGCTTCTAGTCAGCAAAAGCAGGCCTTGAGCTTCCACAGCCCTTTGTATTTATTGGGTAGAAAGAGCAGGGATGAGGAAGTAACAATTAGTCAGCTGCCTGATTGATCACAGGTTCACCTTATTGCTAACAGGCTTCAGATTTGCCTAATCACAAGAAACACTGGCCGGTGCGGTGGCTCACGCCTGTAATCTCAGCACTTCGGGAGGCCGAGGTGGGCGGATCACCTGAGGTCGAGAGTTCAAGACCAGCCTGGCCAACATGGAGAAACCCCATCTCTACTAAAAATACAAAAATTAGCTGGACATAGTGGCAGGCACCTGTAATCCCAGCTACTCGGGAGGTTGAGGTAGGAGAATTGCTTGAACCTGGGAGGCAGAGGTTGCAGTGAGCCGAGATCAAACCATTGCACTCCAGCCTGGGGGACGAGAGCGAGACTTCATCTCCAAAAAAAAGAGAAAGAAACACTCTGGTTGGGACGTGACTGCCCTCAGCATTCCTTCTGGGTGGCAGACGCAGTTTGTCAGTTTGCCAACATCCTGCTTTCATGAGAACTGTTTGCTGTTTACTCATATAGCCTCCAGTGGTATACTGAGTTGATCACGACCCTCGTTCTCTTGGCCTGCAACAATGACCTTCACACTCAAACGTCCACTTCTTCCCCGGTCAGTAATATTGCCAAGTGCCCCTCTGCTCAAAGCATAAATCTAAAGGGCACCATTGGTCTTTCTTCCCAAAACCCCACATAAATTCATTTTTCACCCTATCCTGCTTAAGCTGATCTCTAAACACCTTTTGAACTTTGTCCACTTCTTTGTAAGCCTACTTTGTATTACTTACGTATTTTAAATTTTATCATAAAATTAGTAAAGTACATTGTAGAAAGCTAGAACATACAAACAACATGTGTAAAAATAATATTATATGCAAATACATATATGTGTATCAAAATAAGGTTATACTACAAGTGCTATTTGTAATCTGTTTTTTTCAGTTCATGATCTCTAACCTACAAGGTCCTTATGTTTCTTCTTATGTAATTGCAATTCTGTATTCCGGTTTTCCTTGGTGTCCTAAATATGTGCTTTAAATTTGGCTTGTGCAAACCAGAATGCAATTCAGAATCATAACTGGAATCTAGATATTCTGTCTCTTAATATCTTTTAACCTAGCATGACTGCACCACCACTGTTTTTTTGTTTTGTTTTGTTTGGGAAGTCACTTACCTGTTGAGGGATAATGGTAGTTTAGACTAAGCAGTTAGCTGAGTAGTCCACTTTGTGACACAGATATTTTGAAGGACCCAGCCAGGGATATACTGCAGTATATCTCGTCTCCCAGATTTGTCAAGTTGTTTCTTCATGATTTCATTTAACTTGTTTCTCCAATTCCTGTATTTCTCATAAACTGCCAATTATATTTTTTATTTGGAATCCAACATAAATGATGTGATATACTTCATATTTCCCCATACCAAGGGGTACCTGATCTGGATAATCCAGCATTACTTGAGTTAAATTTCAGCACTGGATTAGGATGACAACAACCTGATACCTCCATTTTGCATTTATGTCTTTCTTTTAAGAAACAGACAATAATCTAGCATGATGCTACTTTACCATTATGTTAATGTCCAGTTTAAACTAATTACAAACCTACTGGTGTTAACACCATATAGTAACCATGACTGTGCCAAACACTTCACTAGGAGTTGAAGGATGTTGATTTTTAAATTCTATTATTTCATCTACATTAAAACTGGCATTTTTTTTTTTTTTGGCAAAGTGGAGCTTTTCCTCATCAATATGGGTCACCCTTTATTTTTAAAATCAGATCCTGCTGGAAAAGTAGCATAAATACTTATTTCTTAACCCTTTAGTTACCAATTTGCAGGATGGGTTTAATAGTTTATTCACAGTATGTTGTGTAAGATTTTCTGGTTTTCTCTTACATAACTATCATTTTATTCATAAATTATAATTGATTTGATGTACTTCAAACTCCTAAAATTGTATTTCCCCTGCTCTAAGTTCCTTTGTCTTTTTAAATGGGATCCATCTCCCTCCCTCCCTCCCTCCCTCCCTCCTTCCCTCCCTCCTTCCCTCCCTCCTTCCCTCCCTGTCTCCCTCCTTCCCTCCCTCCCTCCCTCCCTCCCTCCCTCCCTCCCTTCCTTCCTTCCTTCCTTCCTTCCTGTACTTGGTTGTTTTGTCTGTGTGTGTGTATGTGGCAAATTGTGTTTTCTGAAAATGGTCACAACAGTTTATCCCGTACCTGGATGCTCTTTCTTCAATGTAACATTGGCATTCCTTCAACAAGAGGTGCATTCTGCATTCCCTCCCACTTAAATGTGGCTGGGACTATGACTACAGCAGAAGTGACACAATACTACTTGCTAGGCTAACTTAGAAAAGACAACTTAGCTGCTGCCTGATCCTCAAGGGATGTTTGCCCTTGAGATGTGGCCCCATAAGCCTATGGGGAAGGCAAGCAAACATTGAACAGTTACATGTAGTTTCTGGTCACAGCCCCAGGTGAAGTCACAGCTGACAGTCAGACATATGAGTGAAGGAGCCACCAGTTATTTCAGCCTCCAGCCTTTCAGATGACCCAGCTGACTCTGAGGGAAGCAGTAAGAAGATGTCCCCACTGAGCTCTATCCACATTGAAGATTCATAAGCAAAATAAATGTTTTTGTTTTAAGTCATCCATTTTTGTGGTTGTTTTACAGAAACAGAATGTTTTTTAACAGATTTTTAATATTATTTCAAGTTTACAGAGAACTTAATAAGGCACCCAACTTTCATATATTCTTTATTGAGATTCTACAATTATTTACATTTTGTCTAATTTGCTTTACCAGTTCCCCTAAAATATGTTTTTTTCTGAACCATTTGATAGTAAGCTGGAGTCATCATGCCCCTTTACAGCTAAATAATTCATTATGTGTTTTCTAATAAAAATATATTCACTAATATGACAGTTTATCAAAACCAGGAAATTAATATTAATGCAATAGAATTATCTAATCCACAGTCAGTATTCAGGCTGCCAATTGTCCCAATAAGTTCTTATAGCTGTTGTTTTCTCAGCCTAGAATCTAATCCAGGATCATTCATTGCATTGAGTTTTCATGTAGTTTAGTCTTTCTGAATCTGAAACTGGTTTTCAACTTTTCCCTGGCTTTTTGGACTTTGATATATGTGAAGCGTATGGACCAGTTATTTTGTCCAAATAACTGTCCTCCAATCTGGGTGTATCTGATATTTCATCATAATTAAATATTCTTGTTTGGCATAAATATCACTGAAGTGAGTTTGTGTTCTTGTGAATGCAGTATATTATAAGAGACATATTGTTGGTTTGCCTAATGGTGGTGAAACTGACTTTGATCACTGTTCAAGATGGTTACTGCCAGGTTTCTCTATTGTAATGTTAATATTTTTTCCATTTGTATTTAGTACATAATTTGGGACAGGCAATCTGAGGCTATGCAAATATCCTGTTTCTCATCCAGTCTTTACCCACTCATTGTGCTGTGCACTAAATTTTCTAATCCCGTTATTCTTCCTTTATTTATTAGTTGTCATTCTGCTAGAAGGAAAAGATTTCCCTTTGCTTTTTAAAATTTATTTATATTACTATGGATTCATGGATTTTAATTCTATTTAATGGATTATATAATCCATTATTATTATGACTTATTCTTATGGCCAAATTATCCCAGCTTTAACCAATAGGAGCATCTTCAGGCTGGCTCTCTTATTCATTTGCCATCATTCTTTGAGTACTTCCTTAATTTATGGTACAAGAATATGTTTCAGTCCTTTTCTCAAAGGGGCCCTAGTTCCTATTAGTAAAGAATGGTATTTAGAAACCAATTTCTGATTAATAGAAATACTCATTGTTTCTTGGGTACTATTGCTTCTAGGTACTCAGTGAACAGAGCGAGGAAACCACACACACACACACACACACACACACACACACACACACACACACAGAATCAGGATTTGATCAAGGAAGAAAACCCATTATGCATCATCTAGAATCAAGGATGTATATTAGAGATTAGATTTTACACAGTCATAGGAGATGCTCAGAGAATTTATATAAATCTGTTGCTTGAGCATCCAGCTCCAGGCAAGACTGGTAATGAGAAATGAATGTGAAGTGAGGAAGACAGGGGAAGACCAAAGAAAACTATAATAAATCTGGACAATCTGGAACTGCATCTGTCTGTCACTGCCTCTAAAGTGATGAGGCAGAAAAATCTGGTGCTCAAACCATGGAGCTGCACATTTACCTGACCCAGGATTGAGAAAAGGTAAAGAGCAGATGCAGTAGAAGGTGTAGCTGCTGCCAGCCTGGCTGCTGCCTCCCTCAGTGCATCCTTGCTTCTGCCATTAAATCAACAGCCACATGTATGAACTGTAATCATCTGTGCCCTACACTGAATTTTCAGATCACACATAAGTATCTCTGTGGCCAATCCTAGCTAAGACATTTAAAGAGGGATATTGGGGGAAATGTAGCTCCAATTTAGCTAAGTTGACCCAGTAAACACTGCATCTGATGGTCTTTATTAAAGAGCAAAGAGAAAAAAAGCATTTTCCAGATCAATAGCTGCATTGTGTTGATTTCCTACAACTGCAATTAGAGTTACCATGTGATTAAGTTGCAATAATCACTGTCATTTTCCAAGATCCATCTGTCGTTTGCAAGTCAAATAGGTGAGCTGAGTGGGATGAAGTGGGAATCACTACCTCCTGAATCTTTCAAGTCTTTGATGATGATGCTAATTTCTGCAGTCCCTTTAGAAACGGGGCATTGCTTTCTGTAAATAGAACTCTCTCATGGCTTCCAGTTTATCCTTTCTACCACAATTGCTCAAGCCAGGTAACCACTTTGGAGTTTTTGCCAGTTGCTGAGTATATTTGTTTTCAAATATTCATTTCTCAACTAGGGAAGAGGGGCAGGCAGGTGGTTTTGTGAAACCATTGAGCCCACTGTGAGATGAACCCAAGACAAAACTCCATAAACTTGATATCCATAAGCTTCTACACTGACTGGTGGACCACAGTGTCCCTGGATTCTAGAAATTAGTATTACTTCAGACACAGTGTCCAGTAATCCCTGAAACCTTTGAGTATTTCTCATCTCCCAGTGCATACTCATCCTGGTAAATGTCCAAAAGTCTCTTTGGAAAGGCTAAAAGAAAGATGTATAGTATACATGTGTGGCTATGTAACAGGGTCCTTCCTCATAGGAATCTGTCCTCATTTTCATTCAAAGGGCTCTGAGCCTATAACTGGCTCAAGTCTTGGACATGATTGAGGGCAGTGATTCTCTGTGGTGTTAATTCAAGTCAGACTTCTGTTCACCAGGTATATTAGTTCCCCATTGCTGCTATAACAAATAACCATAAGCTTAGTTGCTTAAAACACATTTATTTATTCTCTTATAGTTCTGGAGGTCAGAAGTCTAAAATCAAGGTGTCAGCAGGGCTGCATTCATTCTGCAGGCTTTAGGAGATAATCTGTTTCCTTGCCTTTTCCAGCTTTTAGAGGTACCTGCTTTCTTTGTCTTGTGGCACTTTCCTTGTAGCATTTCAACCTCTTTCTTCCATTGTCATATCTCTTATTATCCAATCTGATCTCTTGCTTCCCTCTTACAAGGACTCTTGTGATCACATCACACCTATTCATATAATCCAGATGATTTCCCCATCTTAAGACCCTAAACTTGATCGCACCTGCAAAGTCCTATTTTCCATATAAGGTAAAATTCACAGGTTCCAGTGATTCGGACATGGACACCTTTGGGAGGGTCCATTAGTCAGTCTACCATGCCAGACCTAAAACTTTTTGTTGATGCAATTCAAATAAGACCTTAATAGGAATGCCTTTCTATTGCGGTTCTGTTGATGCTACGATAAATTAGACAACACCAAAGATGTCTTGGATCTTCGATATCAGGGTTCCCAAATCAAGCATATTTTTCACAGCCTTGGTGAAGGTAATGTTACCTGGAACTTCCTCTGGGAGACAGAGAGTGGAGGAGCAGGTCTTCCATGTTAAGTTTATTCTAACGTTCTGATGTCCGTAAGCCTTTAGATTCTTTCTTCTACAGTATACCAATAAATAGTGGCATTTTATCTTCATTTAGTGTAGGTCACCTGTTTTCCAGGGTTCTGTCAACACATAAAGCATACTGTTAGAGTCATATCAACCATTAACACTAACACATTACATCCAGAGTCTCTGTTTCATAAAGCCATATTAATGAATTCATCATAGCCCAACATTTTATTTCTTCTGACAGCCCTGAAACAATGCACTTAGGTTACATTCCCAGACATGTCACCTAGGTTTCTGTCAGTATACATTGGCAAAATATTGTCAGCCTTTTGATGTGCATTTTACTTCTTCGTGGGTCATGCTATTTAACTTATCCTCAGGGGCCTGACAAGACTCAAATCTCATTGTAGCCCTGGAAGCAATGAAAGCTGGGGGAGGATATGTTCTGAGGAGGATCAGCCATCCCCTGAAATGTTACCTCAGGGGAGACCAGTAAGGATTCTTCAGTCAAGGAGAAACTAACCACCTCAGTGTCCTTAGGAAAATGTACATGTTCAAAGTCTCCAGGTCCATCTGCATTGGTTCTTTCATCTTATTCCATTTTCGGGGTTCCCCTTTTTCATAATATATTACAAAAGAAACCCAGCTAATATGAGAATTAGGTTAGCATTATAATTTAGCTGTCCAAAGGATTAAACTTCAGGTTTGTTTGTTTGTTTTTTATATTTCAGCCCTGTGGCTATAGACAAAAGGGCTTACACTGGGGACGTCATAGAAGCTTTCAGGTTTTTCACATTACTGAGTTGAGAATTTAAGGCTGTGATCTGCTTATTGTTATTCTCCAAGCTCTCCCGTGCACTGAGAAGCAACCAAACAAACCCATTAGACTACTTATTTTAACAAAAATATTCTAGGGCAGGAACTACACAATCACCTAAAACTTTGCCTTCTATAGGCACTTTGTCTGACAATTACCTACAAGTGGTGGCTCATTCCTGTAATCACAGCACTTTGGGAGGCCAAGGTGGGAGAATTGCTTGAAATCAGGAGTTTGAGACCAGCCTGGGCAGCATAGTAAGACCTCATCTCCACACAAAATCAAAAATTAGCCAAGTGTGATGGCACATGCCTGCAGTCCCAGCTACCTGTGAAGCTGAGGTGGGGGAATCTCTTGAGCCTGCAGGTCAAGGCTGCAGTGAGCCATGGTCAGGCCAGTGCACTCTAGCCTAGGCAACAGAGCAAGAACCTGTCTTTAAATGAATAAATAAACAAATAAATAAATAACTGTGCTGCCATTGCTTGTCAGGGACCAACAGTGTCCCCTTTCCCACTGAAAATATGGTCAGCAAAGCCTTTAAATCCAGTCCAATCGGAGCTCCAATTTCAGATAACCCAAAAGCAATCCAAGGAACTTATTCCTAAAGTTTGTTCCTCTGGAACTGTTTCTAATACCAGATTATCAGTAAGTGTTTTGTCAGATAAGCAGAATTAATTTAAGTAATGTACAATAAAGAAATCAATACAGAAATTCAATCTTAAACAATCTTGGGAGCAGGTAAACTGTTTATATAAGTCTGTACCTTCTGCATCTGGTGTTGGGCGTGTAGTCATCAGGGCTAGTAACTGGGGAAGGAAGATAGGTATGGAGTAGGGGAGACCAAGAACATAACTCCTCTTTCTTTTCCCATCCCCAACCTTGGCAATTGGGTGCCCTGAATAATCAATGGGTGCTCTTCAACATGGAGAAGCACACACCTCTTCCTCAGGAATAGGAGAAACAGGTGGAGGAGATCTGGCAGAGGCTAGATTTGCACCCGTCATACAAACAAGGTGAGGTCAGCGACAATGTGAGTGAGCCACAACATCCCTGCCCTAAGTTACCTTTAAGAAATAAAAATGCTTACTATTCCATTTCTGCTTTTCAAATCCCACTCAGCTTTTCCACTGGCTGACCTTGTCGTAAACGTTCATAAAAGAAAATTGTGAGAAACATAATTCCAGCTTGGAGAAAGTGTAGTGGATAGAGCCACTACACATAATATAAACACAGACAGACACATACACACTCATCTAGGTAGATTTTTTTCTCTATATTTTATTAAAAACTATAAATTGATATGGATATTTATAGTTTCCATTCAATAATACATAGTATATATTCTACACATATAACATAGAGCCCAACAAGGTAGAGTGTATACTAGTCTTCCCCCATTTTGATTTTGTACTTTCCTTTTCCAACAGTGAGAAACCTATCTCTCTTTATTCTCAATTTGTTTCTCATTTGTTCAAGCCTAAAAAACACAGGTCTTTCAGAGTTGCTAATACATACTACTGTGAAAAAAGCAAACCTACTAATTAGGGATTGCTATGTGTTTATAGTTCCTTTATAAAGGTAAAATTTACATAAAGGGCAATGCAAATTTTTAAGAGTATAATTCCGTGAGTTCTGAGAAATGTATACAGATACTTAGTCCTTACACCTCTCAAGTTATTAAACATATTCAACAACCCTAGAGAGTACCCTCATGTTCCTTTCCAATCAATTCTACACAACCCCTTTTCTGATCTTTTTCCCTTTAAATTACTTTTGACTATGTTAGAATGCCATGTAAATGGAATCAGGTACTGTGGATCTACATTACTTAAATTAATTCTGCTTATCTGACAAAACATCCAAAGGTGACTAGGTAAACTGTGTTATGTTCATATAATGGAATACTACTTGCCAATAAAAAGTAACAAAATGACTGACATGTGCAGCAATACACTTGACATTATACTGAGCAAAATAACCTAGATTTTAGTTGTCTTAGCTGTCATAAATAAAACATCTATTAAGAAGTCCTTTTTTTGCTGTTATAAATAGAGCATCTATGAAGAAGTCCTTTTTTGAGGACATATGTTTCATTTCTTGTGGTTAGATATCTAGGAGTGGATACAAATGGATATAAGAAACTACAGGTTTGCCTTGTACCTTCCTTGTCCTAGAACTGGAATCACTCATTTCTGAAAAAAGCCTAATTCCTTAGGTGGAAAATCATATTTTAAAACAAACTCTGGTCTCTATGGGCCCTCAACTTTATTGGATCAATGTTGCTTCCAGGCCCTTTTTCTGGAAAAAGCTAGATGACAGGGATTTTCAAAACCCATTGGTTTATGTTGGTACTTTCAATTCAATGTTAACATCTTAGTATTTTTCTCCATTTCTCTAATTTCTTATTGTATTTCTTTTTTCTTAACCAAAAAATCTTGATTCTTAACATCATTAACACAATTTCTTAATTATATAGTCCCTCGATGAAAAGAAACTAGTTTCAAAATATTAACAAATAAAACTTCTTTAGCAATACTACTTTTTTTAAAAAAAAAAGAAAAACCCTACTTTTAACAAAAATTACTTAGTAAATTTAATTTTGTTATTTCTTATCCTAAACATCATTCTTCTAAATGTGTATGGACAAAGTTGTTTTCTATTCCAGTGGGGTTTTTTTCTCAGTTTAAATGAAGTAAATTTATTGTGAAAGCATTTAATATGAGTTTTTTTCTATGCATTTGTCTTACCATTTTATTATATGTTTTGAATATTTTGTATTCAATTTTAGGTGTTTTTAGAGTTTTGAGTAATTTTTTAAAAGATCATGTATTTTTATTTAAATATGGAAACAACTTAAAAAATGTTTCAGATAGAAGTCTGACTTCCCTTCGTGATGCTTTCCCACATTGTGCCTATCCTTTCAAATATAACTCCTGTGTGAGTGAGAAACTACACTTATACCCCCTCCAAGCACACACATTCCCTACAAATAGCTACTTTCATCAGTTTTTTTTTAATCTTCCTTAGTTTCTTTTTTTTTGCAAATTTACCAAATCCATTTTTCCTTTTTCTTCCACACTCAAAGAAAGTATCTTACATCAAATATACTATTTTTTACCCCTTGTTTGTAACCACTTCAAAATATATCCTGGAAGGCTCATCATTTTATAGGCCTCATCATCCTTTTGGTAACATTGATTGCTAACTTGATACGCAGGAATCTGCTAAGCAGCATTTAGACATTAGTTCACTTACTTCTCCCAATAGTCCTCTATGGGGGCTCTATAGAGGAGTGCCACATGGATTCTCCCTCCAGGACTGAAGCATTTGTTGTGCTCCAGCTGTTCGTAGTGTTAGCTTCTCAGTTGAGACCCACTCTGGGACTTACCCTTGGCTGAAGGGCCTCAGCCCATGTTGCAGTCCCTTTGAATTCCTGGTCAGTGTGTAAGTTCGAATGCAAACCCCCTTTCCCTTCCCAATTTGAAAGGATTCTGGTGAAGGGGACCATCCTGCTCCAGTGGTCCCATTCCCCTGCCCAGTCCTGCTTCTTTCATTCCCTAAGAACAACACACCTCCTGCACACTCTTTTTCTGGGCTTCTGTTTCCCAAGGCACCTAATCTGTGACATCTTATGGGGTACATCCTATTATTATCTCAATTTTACAGGTGAGCAAGTTGACACACACATAAGGCAAGGAATTGCCCCAAACCATCAGCTGGTAAGTGACAGAGCCTGGATTCATAACCAAGTTTTTCTGTGCTATTCTTAGCCACTTTGAAACACTATCTGATCCATTTAATCTTAGCAACTATTTCATCCCTCTGTCCTGAAGCATTGCAACTGCCTCTGAATGGATCTCCTTGCCTTTATTCTTACCCCTCCAGTCTGCAAACAGAATAAACTTCCAAAGCCTCGGAAGAGATCACTCCCACACATAGAAGACTTCGGTGCATTATTCTTGGACTTAAGCCAGAGTAAAAGATTTTGCACAGTACACAGAGCTCTCCATTATTTAACCTCCGCATCTTCTTCAAGCCTCATTGCACCATCCCTTCCCACGGTTCTCCTTAATTCAGCCATGCTCATAAATGGACTCTCATCCTTCATCTGAATAACTCTCTCTACCTCCTGCATCTGAATAGCTACTTCTCATGCCTCAATCTCACCTGAAACATTAACTACATAGAGCTCTTTCCTAAGCTCCTAGTTAGGTTACCTCTATTTATCTATTAGCTCTCGTAGTATCTTTATTTCCCCCATTGTATAATGCTTACTATGTTATTATTGGGTTTTTAATTGACTTTTCATTATTTTTTATTGAAGTATAACCTACACACAGAAAATACACCACTCAAAAAATATTCACAAAGTGAACACACTTGTGTAACAGCATCCAGATCCCAAAATAGGATGTGACCAACATCTCAGAAGCCTCCTTGGTCTCCTCCCATTGCCTGCCATAACCACCATCCTGCTTTCTAACACTACGTCGATAGATTCTTAATGTGTTTTCAATTAAGTGCCACTGAACTGCATTTCCCAGAATTCTCCATTCTGTAATAAGTTTTCAGTTAGGGTGAGACACAGAAGGGGTTCCTGTGGGAGATGGGAAATGCAGGAAGTGAAGCGGCAGCCATTTTGTTGCTCAGGTACATTGGTGCTGATCTGTGGGTTCCGCTCCCTACTGTGAGCTGCAGCTGGTCCTGCAGCTGCATCAGCTTCTCTGGCATGCTCCTTCAGTGCCTCTAACTTCCGGTCAGGTGTGTGTGTTTAGCTCTGTGAAGAAGAGCCTTGGATCCTGCAGGACACCTGCACTACCAACAGCAGAGGCAACAAAACTGTACACGGGTTCCAGTCCTTGAGGGCTTTAGTTCATGCTTCCAGCTCATTCTTGCTCTGTCCCACTTTATGTCTATTTTCTTTCTCAACTGCCCACTCTATAGACCCGAAGCTCCAACATAAGTCTTACAGAGACTGCTTAACCGGCTTCCACCCTTGGGTAAATTTGCATCTCTGTAAGAAATTCCCTTTATATGTATATAAAACTTCTGTTCTCTAATTGAAATTTGTAATTACTCATTTGAAGTTCATACTTCCTCCCAGCTTGTATATCCCATGATGTCAGAGATCATTTTCCTTTCTCTCGTGTCTAAAATTATATCCCTAGCACCTACCAGAGCACCTGGCACGCAGTGGATGATGGATACCTTTCTGCTGAATGAGTTAATACATACATACATACATACATACGTTTGTAAATAATGTGTGAAATAAATGACCATATAGAAAAAAAAAGTCATGTTGCTTTGGAAAGTCTATGAAACCACTGATGGAAAGAAACACCACTTTCAAGAATGATTGCTGAAAAAGTTCAGTTTCAGGAAGTTGTCAACTTGTTTGATGTAAATGCAATGAGGCTACCTACCAACCATCAAAGATCGAAGAGGAAAGAAACTTCTGAGAGCTTGCAACAGAGATGTACTTCTGTGAAAAGCACTCACCAGCCTAAAGAAACCAACACATGGACACTTCAGCAGTGTGTCCTTGACGGGCTTCACCAAATAATGGTAAAAGGCCATTTGATGGGAACAAGGGCTCTTCTCCTTGGAGAAGCCTCTATAACCACTTCATAAGCTCTAAGACTTATGTGTTGCTTTTAACACTCTTCCAAGGACCACTCCCCCAAATAGTGAGAGTGATAGGCCCAGATAAGTGTCAGAAAATGCCATTCTATATCCTTTTGTGAGGTAAAAAACGATTCCTTCCATGCACTGCCAACATTACATAGCCTTCCATCTCCTCTGTCATATCAGTAGTCATTGTTGCCCCTCTCTCTCTCCTGTCTTTGTAAGCACACACACATACAGACACATACACACACACCAATATAGAAGATGAACAAATTACTTTGCATTAGAATTATCGTTAGAAATCAATATCAACAAGGCTTTCTCTCTCTCTGAATTTCAGAATTCAAGAAAACAGAATTCTTTTTAGAGACTCTTTTTAATTATATATACTTTAGCAGTATATAGTAAAATATTGTAGAAAATAAGATGATGCTTTGAAAAATCCTCAACTATATCTCTACATCATGCTGTCTTTTGTTTGACTTCATAAAAATAAGACAGTGTTATTTTTCTGCCCGAGAAACCCTCCCAATACCCCCTCTCCCAAACCTAATTTCATCTCCTTTGACTAATTCAAAATATTCTTTTATCAGTGTAAACCTTACTTACTTCTCCAAGGATTTCTTTTGACTTCTATCTAAACTGCCATAAGTGGTTAAGCAGACTAAGTTACCCACATGCTTAGAGCACCCTCCATCACATTACTCACCACACCAAAAGTTATTGCTTAATTGTCTCATTCCCTACTAGTTTTGAAAAACAGGACCTTGGCCAGGCGCAATGGCTCATACCTGTAATCCCAGCACTTTGGGAGGCCGAGGCGGGTGGATCACCTGAGGTCAGGAGTTCAAGACCAGCCAGACTGACCAACATGGCGAAACCCCGTCTCTAATAAAAATACAAAATTACCCCGGTCTGGTGGCACATGCCTTTAATCCCAGCTACTTGGGAGGCTGAGGCAGGAGAATAGCTTGAACCTGGGAGACGGAGGTTGCAGTGAGCTGAGATCACACCATTGAACTCCAGCCTGGGCAACAGGAGCAAAATTCCATCTCAAATAAAAAAAGAATAAAAGAAAAACAGGACCTTTATTGGATTTTTTTTAGTATTTCCAGTGAACAGCACATTGCTTGGAGCATTTGCTTTATAAATAACAAAGAAGTAAATGAAATCTAGTCCAGGTAACCATTCTTGGACTCAAGTGAAATATCCAGTATTTCATGCCCATATCATCTTGGAAGAACACACAAGAACAAGATGAAGTAAATTCATATTCCCTAGAAGTTATCCATAAAGTAGTAACATCATAGTATTTTCATCTGCCTCTTAATTTCTAGTCTTCCATGGGGTTGTTCGGACCACTCCTACCTAATTTTTCCTTTTGTTCTGAAAGCCTGCAAGTACTGAAATCATCTTTGTTATATGAGCTATATGCTGATATTACCTGTTGATGTCATCTACCAGGGCAGAAAATGTTACCAGTCATATGATTTTTGCAAGGTTTTCTTCAGTCAAGCCTTCCTGGTTTCTCCAGCATGCTGATTTTTATTTTATTTTATTTTATTATTATTATTATTTGTTGACACAAAGTTTCACTCTTGTTGCCCAGGCTGGAGGGCAATGGCTTGATCTCGGCTCACTGCAACCTCTAACTTCTGGTTTCAAGCAATTCTCCTGCCTCAGCCGCCCGAGTAGCTGGGATTACAGGTGCCCACCACCACACCTGACTAATTTTTGTATTTTTAGTAGAGATGGGCTTTCACCATGTTGGCCAGGCTGGTCTCAAACTCCTGACCTCATGATCTGCCCACCTCAGCCTCCCAAAGTGCTGGGATCACAGGCATGAGCCACCGCGCCCAGCTGCTGATTCTTAATAGTCTCAGGGATTGAGTTTGCCTTGGCAATCTCATAGTCCACTTTTAATGACCTTTCAAACCACTCTTCTGTCACCCAGAAGTAAAAACCCTTTAAGGGAATGACATTGTTCATGGTGAGGTTCTGGCTGTGCTGCACCTTCTCCTCATGAGAAGGATGTCTTGGGGTACCTAATGGATTAGTCTCCTTACATTCATCCTACCAGTCTCTTTCCCCAAAATCAAAGTTGCAAATCTTTGTATTTCTCCGTAGGGTCATCACCATGATTGTTTTACAAATACTGGCCAAATTGACTTCACTTTTAAGTGGAGGGTGGTGTAGAGGTCAGTTATTAGATTCAGCCTGAGAGGCAAGGCAATTATGAACACAAATTAAGCTACTGTTCACACATAGAGAGAAATCATTTCTAAATATGCTGCTGCAGCAAAGAAAAACTCAGAGAAAGTGATCAGTTGGGAAAATGTACACTTGAAAAAGAATAGAGAAATTATTAGAGCCTCATTAGTTAGTCATTCGATTGTACTCTGTAGGGCTGAGGGTTCTTTTCCAGCCATGTGAACCATTTTTATGTTTTGCATCTTGCTTATCTCAACCATATAATGCATAGGTAAAATAAATATATATATTAGCATATTTTTGTCATAGAGGTAAATGCCATGGTTTTAGGGGGATGAAGAACTGAGGTGAGAAGCAGGAAAAATAAACTAAGAGTCGGAGCTCATCACTGTGGAAGGTCCCAACATTCAACACGAAAAATATGCATTCAACAATTTTTAACCAAAGCAGAAGAGGCTAGAAAATGATGAAGCCTCTAGGGGTCAGAATATTTTGTATCTCACTCTCAAATGAACTGTGTATGTCATGTGCAAGTGACTCAGGCTAAGAAAGATCAGCTTGCAAACAATATCTTTACAGTGTACAATTCAGTGGCCTTAATTATATTCCCAATGTTGTGCAACCATCACCACTATCTAGTTTAAAATTTTTTCATCATCTCAAACAAAACTTTGTATCCTTTTGACTTTGTGTGCCTTTTCCTTTCTTTTTACATCCTTTTGTAACTTAGGGTAAAATTTTCAGCATTAAATAAAACATTTCAAATATGTTGTATATGGCTTTAGTTATAAACTATATTGCATGCTGACAGAGAAGTGCTCCCTTTTAGCTAAGCCCAGAACTTCTCTTTTGACAATAAAGTACTAAGCAGTGGTATCACGAGGGCCAGCTCCACATGGTCCCCTGCAGAATAAATGCAGATGACAGAAAGCTGATGTTGTCTACTACTGAACAGTGATGGAGATGGTGCTAAGTTTTTACAGTTGTCTTAGCCCCAGTGGTTCTCAAAGTGGGGTTCCTGGCCCAGCAGCAGCATCCCGCTAGGAACTTCTTAGAAATGCAAAGGTACGGGCCCCCCTCCGGCCTCCTGAATGCAAGGGGTGTGGTGGGGTGCAGTGAGCTGTTTTCACAAGCCCTCCAGGTTACTAGATGCTAGCTCACTTGAGAATGATGGGTTTTAGCTATTCTGGGGTGTCTCTCTGATTTTCTACAACACCAAGTTTGGTGAGGTTTTAAATTTAGTCTATTTTTATATAAAATGATTGCCAGACTTATTATATTAAGTTTGAAGAAGCAGAAGATCCTTGTCAATGTATAAGGCCCAGGCCTAGAGCTGTCAAATGATAAACTTTGTGCTTAAGCTGGTTTTTAGTATGTATATCTTTTTGATGGTATGAAAAATTTATTTAGGCTTGACTATTTTAAAACACCATAATGAATGTATAATTAATTTATGTTAAAGTATTAACCCTTTGTTACAAGGGAATGATAATGTTGTGATTGGTTGCCTCTTAGCCCATCAACTGTTCCTGTCACGGTAGTCCTTACTTCTGTCGTCAGCTCAGAGCCTGCACATTTTTATATTTCATTATCATGATAAATTAGCCACCATAATCCCATGGAATTAAGTATTGTTAAATCTAAGCAAACTATCTTTGAGTCAAAAAAGTTGGATAACTCTTCATCTGTTTGAAATAATGCTCTGAATGGCCAACATTCCAAGAATGTATTAAAAACGGCAACCCTGCCTACCGTTTTGATTACCCTTTTCCATATTAAACAAGTTGAGGACAACAACAAAAAATCTTTGTATCCTTTATGCAATAATGCCCCATCTCCCTGCCTTCCACTGCAGTTCCTGATAACCTCTAAGCTATTAGCTTTTACTATGAATTTGCCCTTTTCCAACTATTTCGTATAAATGGAATAATCCAATGTTTATTCTTTCATGTCTGGTTTATTTTACTTAGCATGATGTTTTCAAGGCCCATTCATTTTGTAGCATGTTTCTGAATGTCATTCTTTTTCAGGGCTGAATAATATTTCATCATATGTGTATGTCATATTTTGTTTTTCTGTTCATCTGTCGATGAACACTTGGGTTGTTTCCATCTTTTTTCCATCGTGAATAATGCTGCTATGACCACTGGTATACAAAAATTTGAGTCCCTATTTTCAATTATTTTGGGTACTTAGGGGTGGATTAAGTATACTGTTTTACATTGTGTGATGTTGAAGATAATTTAAAATGTTGAACATACTGACAGAAATATTTTAAAGATCTGAGACATATTTTAAATCTTCATTTATATGTATATCTTGATTTAACATAAACAAGTATGACAGGTTTATAAAATAAAATAAGGCATTAAAAGCTTGTCTTTTTTGGCCGGGTGCAGTGGCTCACGCCTGTAATCCCAGCACTTTGGGAGGCCAAGGCAGGTGGATCACGAGGTCAAGAGTTCGAGACCAGCCTAACCAACATAGTGAAACCCTGTCTCTACTAAAAATACAGAAATTAGCCGGGCATGGTGGTACACACCTGTAATCCCAGCTACTCAGGAGGCTGAGGCAGGAGAATTGCTTGAACCCAGGAGGCGGAGGTTGCAGTGAGCTGAGATCATGCCACTGCTCTCCAGCCTGGTTGACAGAGCGAGACTCTGTCTCAAAAAAAAAAAAAAAAAAAAAAAAAAAAAAAACACAAAAAAAACACTTGTCATTTTTATTAAAATGTGTTGCCATTAGACATGAGTGCTTTATTACTTCTTAGGAACTTATCCACAGTTACATTTATCAATAGTTAAAATTGATAGCTAAATAAATAACAGGTAACGAACACACTTACATGTGCATCTCCCTGAACTGCTGTGATGAATTAGTAGATTTGTTACAGTTTTTATCACTATCAACCCTGTTATTGAGAACACTGTTGCATAAAAAGAAAGGATACATTTAAAAGACAAATAGTAGAATATTTATATTAGTAAATGCAGAAGAATATGTGCAAATCAGTTAGTCATTGTGACATTGAATGAGATTTTATTGAGAGAGAGGCTAACCTGAGAGAGAAAATTATAATAAAACTTCAATTTGTGCATTTTTTAAGCTATAAGAATAAGAACAGACAAAAGCACAGAACGTGCCTGAGCAAGCTACACTGCACATATTTCATTCCTGTCTGTTTTAGTGATAAGATCTTTTTTTTTTTTTTTTTTTTTTTTTTTGGCTAATGACCATAAAATAAGAGGAAGAAATAGCAAATGAAAAAAATTTTGTGGATTCCATAGTCTACCCATTATGACCAAGTTAGGAGATACTCTGTTTCACTCACGTCTGTGTGAAGAGACCACCAAACAGGCTTTGTGTGAGCAAAAAGGCTGTTTATTTCACCTGGGTGCAGGCGGGCTGAGTCCGAAAAGAGAGTCAGCGAAGGGAGATAGGGGTGGGGCCATTTTATAAGATTTGGGTAGGTAAAGGAAAATTACAGTCAAAGGGGGATTGTTCTCTGGCAGGCAGGAGTGGGGGTCACAAGGTGCTCAGTAGGGGAGCTTTTGAGCCAGGATGAGCCAGGAGAAGGAATTTCACAAGATAATGTCATCAGTTAAGGCAGGAACAGGCCATTTTCACTTGTTTTGTGGTGGAATGTCATCAGTTAGGGCAGGAACTGGCCATCTGGATGTGTATGTGCAGGTCACAGGGGTTATGATGGCTTAGTTTGGGCTCAGAGGCCTGAGGAGAGTTTGAGAGAAATTTTGCTACAGATAATTGATTATGTTATTGAATAGGATGTAACACACTGGCTTGCTTGGGGGAAAAATGAAAAGAAAAAAAATGTCCTCATTGATGTACAATTGGCTCACTTGAGTCTGTGTGCATGGCTCCAGCACAACACTGAGAAAAATCTTTGTATACAAAAAGCTTAACTTGAACTTGTATACTTGAGAGACATTCTAGATTTTAAATGTCACTTCTTCTTCTAACTCTGCTGGGAATCACCGTTGAAGAAAGCAACACCTAGTTATACATCCACTTGTATCACCTGCCCAGCATCACTACTTAGAGAAGATCCAGAAGTTGGGAGTCTGATACTAGGAGAAGGTGGAAACTTGCACTCCTGGGGCTCTATGGTACAGCTCACAACCATCTAGGGCTGCCTGCTTGTTTTGCTCTATGTGCCCTTCCCTTTACCCTTGAAAACAAATCCAACAACCTGCAATATCTGCCACTTCAACCTTCCATCCTTTATAGGCTGAAAACAAGGTGAGACATAGGCACCAGAGAAACTTTGAATTCCTCAGCCTCATTTCCTCATCTCTTCCTACAAGAAGAGGAAGCCAAGAAGCAGAATAACTCGCTGGCAAGACAGGTCACACTCAGGGCATTTGAACTTAATGGCTTTGGTTGATCAGTTTGCAGTAGAGTTCCAGATAGTGACATCAAGTTTTCCTTCTCTAAGTGCAACAACAAAATCTCTCTGAGAAAACAGTTGCTTTTTCGTTTCCTTTTTGACTTAGTTTATGATATTTGACGTGCAAAAAAGTATTAATGGAAGAATACACAAGAAAGTAAAAAAATAGTGTTTGCAGTCTGGTGTTATTGTATATATCATATATATAATTGTTATTTTATAATTGTATACATAATTATACAATTATATATGCAAGTTATATTAGATATTATTTTATAATTACACAATTTATGTTAAATATATCATTCTATAATTATATAATTGAAAATTATATCTTGTTATATTTATTATATTTAATCAAATCATAAGTATACTGCATATACAATTCTTTTTTATATATTATATTGTATGTATATATAATTGTTATGACAATTATATATACAATTGTCATAACAATTAAATATATAGTTATTATTTTAAGTACAATTTAACATAGCCACGTTGTTATATATACATATTATCTATAAACATTATATGGAATGTTTATAGATAATATGTATATTAACAATATGTAACATTTATATATATATAACCATGTAGCTGTGTTAAATTGTAATTAAAAATAACAAAAATATGTTAACATTGATTCAAAAATATGTTTTCTCATTTGTGGCCCTTTTCACTTCTTAAAGCGTAGGCAGCGTTTCCTTGCAGTGTTTTTCCCATCTCAAATGGCTCCGTAATTTAGACAATAGCAAGCAGAGCACATGATTAATGAAGCTGTGAATTGAGGACGGGACAGCTGCTGGATCACAAAGAGATGCTTTGTGGGCATGTTACTACATGTGCAAGGAACTCTACAAATTGATAATTTGTTAAGCTAATTGAATCTCTCTGTGAGCGTTATTGTAACTTTTGGTTGGACCAGGGCATAACCAAGTGTTTATACCAATCTAGGGCAGCTAAAGGCAAAGCCATCATTTGCTGCTGATAGGACCTGCATTCACAGCACTCATCAGAGCCAAACATAAGCAAAATAATCAGGCTGAATGTCTGTATCCTTGTCATCCTCAATGCCTTGCTTGCCCTCCTCTGCTTCTTCCAGGGAGGATCCAGGGCTCTCCTGGTGATGATCAGTCACCCATGCTGCTCTCACTATACATTTTCCATCCAGCCAGGCTGATATCAGCCACTCACATTTGTTTGTTCCCAAATCTCTCCTCGCCCCTCTCAAAAGTACCTGTCTTGTGTTACCTCTCTTTTTCCAAGAGTAGGAATTAAGAAGAAGGAGATAGAGAGTTGATCTCTAGTAGGGAAGAGATAATAAAGTTAATAATGACGTGCTTTTGCCAGCACTAATATCCTTCCTTTTATTAACAGAAATAAAACATTCTGTAAATATAGCATCCTTTGCTGGGCGCAGTGGCTCACACCTGTAATCCCAGCATTTTGGGAGGCCAAGGCAAGCAGATCACCTGAGGTCGGGAGTTCAAGACCAGCCTGACCAACTTGGAGAAACCCTGTTTCTACTAAAAATACAAAATTAGCCAGGCATGGTGGCGCATGCCTGTAATTCCAGCTACTTGGGAGTCTGAGGCGGGAGAATCGCTTGAACCCGCCAGGCGGAGGTTGCGGTGAGTCGAGACGGCGCCATTGCACTCCAGCCTGGGCAACAAGAGCGAAACTCTGTCTCAAAATAATAATAATTATTATTATATATATACACATATAAGCATATTAAGGTTTATATTATAGACACATATATACACATATAAACATACTAAGGTTAATATGTTTATATGTGTATATATAATATATAATATATGTATATATGTTTATATACACACATTAAGGTTTATAAATGTGTGTGTATATATACACATATGCTATATATACACACATGCTATATATATAGCATCCTTTGTGTCAGAAAGGTTGCTGAAGAGACAGAACTAATACTAGAGTCATAGGAATGCCTTCTAGGATCACAGGAATCTCAAGTTCTTCAACTAACTCCCACCAGCTTTCACTCCTGCTACTACATTCAGCCAACTTGTGTCAAAACCAAAGTTTGTATCCCACCTCTTATTGTAACTGCTACGGCTTTTAGACATGGCTAGTCCTTGCTTCCTCAAAAGGACTCTTGAAGCACCGCTCTCCTGATCTTCCTGCCTCCTCACTGACCAGTCTTCTTTTCTGACTTCTCCTCATTTCCAAAACCTTCAAATGTTGGCATGTTCTAGGGCTCATTCCTAGAAGTGCTTCTTGTGTCAAAGTTTTAGATATCTTTTATAAGCTCATAACTCCTAAATTGATGTGGCTATCCTTGACATCTGTAGGAGACCCTATTTCCAAAGCCAATTCAGTATTTCCATTGAAAGTCTAGTAATATTCTCCGAGTTAACATCTCTGAAACTCAACTCCTGACCTACAGTCCCAAAGCTGTTCCTGTTAAGATCTCCTCTGTCTTAATGAAGAAAAAAAATTCATTGTTTTTCTCTAACCAAAAATCTTGTATCATCTTTGGCTCCTCTTTGATTTGTACCCAATATCAAATTTAACAAAAAAGTATTAATTCTACAACAACAAAGATCCAAAAATTGACTTTTCATTATCTCCACTCCTGGTTCAAGACACTGTCATCTTTTACCTGGATTATTACAATAGCCTCTCACCTGATTCCCTATGTCAGTCCTTGCCCACCTAGCCAGTGTATGATCCTTTCCAGAGGTGTAAGTACCGTCAAGCAATTTATCTGCTCAGAACTCTCTAATGGCTCCCCACCTTGCCCAGGGTAAAAATTTGATCCTAGCAATGGCCTAGGAAGCCCTACGTGATATGCCTCCACCACCTGTCTGATATTATCCTCTGACACCTTCATCCAACTCTTCCTATCTAAGAATGCTCTGGCCTCAAGGTCTCCACTATTGCTCTCCTCTCTACCTGGAAAGTACTTGATCTACACACACCCATATTTCACTTCCTCACCTCCTGCAGGATTCTATTCAAGTGTCACTTCTTTCCTAGGATTTTCTGACTTCTCCAATAAAATCACTATCTGGATAACTAGCAATTCCCATTCCTATTTTTAGTTTTATTTTTCTCCATATATTATTACAATCTAATATGCTGTATATCTTATGGACGTGTTTGCTTAATATTTGTCTCTCTCTAGTAAAATTGCAAGCTCTGAGAATATAATGGATTTCTTTGTTTTGTTAATATTTGCTAAGCATTTTCTGACCCTAGGTAAATGCCTGACACATAGCACTAAAAAGTGTGTGGAATGAATGAGTGATCGTACCATAGCAATACCAGCAGAGGCCAGGTGCAGTGGCTTATACCTGTAATCCCAGCACTTTGGGAGGCCAAGGCAGGTGGTTCACGAGGTCAGGAGATCGAGACCATCCTGGCTAACATGGTGCAACCCCGTCTCTACTAAAAATAAAAAAAAATTAGCGGGGCATGGTGGCGGGCACCTGTAATCCCAGCTACTCGGGAGGTTGAGGCAGGAGAATTGCTTGAACCCAGGAGGCAGAGCTTGCAGTGAGCTGAGATCCCGCCACTGCACTCCAGCCTGGGTGACAGAGCGAAACTCCGTCTCAAAAAAAAATAAAAATAAAAATATAAAAAATTAGCCGGGCGCGGTGGCAGGTGCCATAGTTCCAGCTACTCGGGAGGCTGAGGCAGGAGAATGGCGTGATCCCAGGAGGCAGAGCTTGCAGTGAGCCGAGACCGCACCACTGCACTCCAGCCTGGGTGACAGAGCAAGACTCCATCTCAAAAAAAAAAAAAAAAGAAAGAAAAGAAATATCAGCACATACTAATTAAAATTTTCACATATAGATAAAGCACAAAAATCTTGATATAAGAAGAAGTAGAGCCAGGCATAGTGGCTCACACCTGTAATCCAGTTACCTGGGAGGCTGAAGCAAGAGGATCACTTGAGGCCAGGAGCTGGAGAACAGCCTAGGCAACATAGCAATAATCCACTTCTAACTTTTTTTTTAATTAGCTGGGCACAGTGTCTCACACCTGGTAATCCCAGCTACTTGAGAGGCTGGAAGGATCGCTCCAGCCCAGGAGTTTGAGTCTGCAGTGAGCTATGATCATGCCATTGCACTCCAGCCTGGGTGACAGAGCAAGACCCTGTCTCTAAAAAAAATAGAAATGAACACATAAAGAAATAGAAGTTAAGCTTGGCAACATTTTAGAACAGAATAGAGAGAGGAATATGTAAACATTGCTGTTTATAATTATCAAATTTTATTGACCTGGTTAATTTCATAATAGAAAATCTTTAAAACAAAAATCTATCAATCCAATGTTTGGTGACACTACACATGAGCTGATAGAAGTAACGTGATTTTTCTGAGCTTATTTTTGACAGTGCTGATGATGGAATCAGAGTTTGAAAAGTTGAAAACCAACCATCTCATTGTAAGGTGAAGCTGAGATCTGAAACCTAGCAAGTTCATATGGATCATCCAAGATCAAAGCCTCCTGACTTTGTGTTCAGTCCCACTTTTACTAGCCTACGCTGCTTTGGCAACTTGAGAGGCCTCATCAAACCTCTAAATGTGGCAGCCTGCCTTACCTCTTTATCATTCTTCCTTTAACTAGAGCTCTCTTTTTCTCCCACCATCCGTTTATCCACCCATCCCTTTCTTCCTTTAATGTATACAAGCCCCAAAGTGACTAACACATATGAGCTCTCACATATTGAAGGAAGACATTCGTTTGATTGGTTGAAAGCTAAACAATCATATGTTAATGTTGATTCATAGATTTTTTTTTTTTTTTTTTTGAGATGGAGTCTTGCTCTGTCGCCCGGACTGGAGTGTAGTGGCGCGATTTCAGCTCACTGCAGGCTTCGCCTCTTGGGTTCACGCCATTCTCCTGCCTCAGCCTCCGAAGTAGCTGGGCCTACAGGCGCCCACCACCATGTCCGGCTAATTTTTTGTATTTTTTTTTAGTAGAGATGGGGTTTCGCTGTGTTAGCCAGGATGGTCTCGATCTCCTGACCTTGTTATCCGCCCGCCTCGGCCTCCCAAAATGCTGGGGTTACAGATTCTTAGATTTTTTAAATTGTGCCTTCTTTTATCTTCTTTTATTTTAATATGATGAAGGAAAGAGTAAGGAGGCCCAATTAACTATCTTAATACAAGATTTTCTATTAAAATGAAAATATAATAAGAGATAATGGGTTGTCAATAATATAATCAATACAGAACTAGAAATAGATTTGTCTAAAAGACTATAAGCCAAATATGAGCAAAAATAACAATAAAAGACTAAGCATAAATTAATTTCTTATTGAGAATGGAAATTTCGAATGGCTGTTTTTATTGCATAGGTCTTGTAACTTCTTTAAACAATCTTGTGATAATTGAAGAAAAAGCAAAAATAAAACATCTGCAACTGAAGTGTAATGTGTGATAAAGCAGCAGACACTGTGTTGGCAGCTCAGATAGGTGGAGTTATTATCTGACAACATACAGGAGGTGCAGTAGTAATGATCTTTTGCTGATGGTTGTGGTGTATAAAACATCATCTTTTATGTAATGACAGGAAGCACTTTAGCATTGTGATCAGGCCCAATTCAGGTGCAATTCACGTATATATTTTCTAAGTCTAAGGCAAATAAATTGTTTTTAATGAACTGATATTATTAGTTAGAATATTATTGCCTTTTTGGGAATAGCTTTATTGAGATATAATTCACACACTGTGCAATTCACTCATTTAAAATGTTATAATTTGGCCGAGCGCAGTAGCTCATGCCTATAATCCCAGCACTTTGGGAGGCCGAGGCAGGTGGATCACTTGAGGTCAGGAGTTCGAGACCAGCCTGGCCAACATGGTGAAATCCTGTCTCTACTAAAAATTCAAAAATTAGCCAGGCATGGTGGCAGGTGCCTGTCGTCCCAGCTACTCGGGAGGTTGAGGCAGGAGAATCGCTTGAACCCTGGAGGCAGAGGTTGCAGTGAGCCGAAATTGTGCCACTGCACTCCAGCCTGGGTGACAGAGTGAAACTCTGTCTCTAAATAAATAAATATGTAAAATTTAATGGTTTTCAATGTATTCATCAGTATGTGTGACCATCACTACAGTCAATGCTAGAACATTTACATAGCATCAAGAATAAACCCTGTACTTTGTAGCTGTTAACTCCCCTATTCTTCCAATTCCTCTAGCCATAAGCAGCCACTTATCTCCTTTCTATGTCAATATGTTTGTCTATTCTGGACATTTCATATAAATGGAATTGTATAGTATATGGTCTTTTGTGACAGGCTTCTTTCCTCTTGCACAATGTTTTCATGGTTCATCCATATTATAGCATGTATCAATACTTCATTCCCTTTCATGTCTGAAAAAAAATCCCATTTTATAGATATACCATTTTTGTTTATCTATTCATTCATCCATTGATGGACACTTGAGTTGTTTCCATACTTGGCTATTATAAACAATGCTGCTACAGGCATTCATTTGCAAATATTTGTGTGGAGATAGGATTTCATTTTTCTTGGGTACATACCTAGGAATGGAATTGTTATGACATATAGTAACTTTATGTATAACCATTTGAAAATCAGCCAGACTGATTTGCTAAGTGGCTGCACCATTTTACATTCCAACTGGTACTGTATGAGTGTGTGCATTTTCCACATCCTTGTCAACACTTGTTATTATCTGGCTATTTTATTCTAGCCATCCTAGTGTATGTGAAGCAATATCTCATTGAGATTTTGATTTGCATTCCCTAGTGACTAATGAAGCCAAGCATTTTACTGCAATTTAGCTGTTCTACCATTAGCTGTAAAATTTTAAATGTCCATTTATTAGTTTGAGGGAGAGTATCATTGCCTTACTATCTCAGTAAATGATTAAGTGTTGATGGATCCTATTAGATCTTTAATTAATAAACTATTTAATCCATTTAATAATTACTTCTTTAGAGAAGTGTAAAAACATTACCAAAAAAGGCAAAGAGAATAGTGTAAGTCATACCCATCTACCCTTCAACCTAATATGATATGTGTTTACATTGTCATCTTTTATTCTGAGCCTGATTTTATCACATAGAATATTAAAGAAGGAGTTGATAGTTCTTTAGTTTCTTATATGGCCCAATTTTTTTGCTCCTTTCCTCTGTAAATAGAGGCAACTGCTGTGATAAGTTTTGTTTTCCTCTAGATTATGTTTTTACATGTGTACTACACACATATGTAATCATTTACAAAATGCATCATTATCTTATGTTTTAATACATTCATGCATATTTCAGTCTTTCTACAACCTGCTTTTTTGCATTGTTTTTAAAATCTATTCTATTTAATTTGTATAGCTCTAGTTTATTCATATAATATGTTTTCTGCTTTCTAGTATTTCTAGTAGTCTTTTTGCTATTTATTTTTATTATAACTTATTTATGAGTGCACAGGCTTTTTCCAGGTTTTATGTTTTTTCTTTTGTTTTTGTGCTATTAATAACAATGGGGAAATTAACATTCCTGTATACACATGTCTCCTACATATGGAACTTCTTGGACATATTTATGTAAAAACAAGATTCTAGGTTGTTGTCTAGACCTATTTTTAATCTTTACCAAATGGCTTTAAAAATGTTTTTCTCTGTTATTTGCTTTAAACAATTATATCCCTGCCACATTCCTGTAACATTACAGTGGAGCATTTTAATCATGGTCAGCTTGTGAATATGAGATGGTATCAGATTGTTTTAATTTTTTCTCTGAATTTTAGATTCTAGGAAAGATAGAACATATTCAAATTTTTGTTGTATATTTGTGTGTGTAGATATACAAATATCTTTCATCATTTGTGGATTATTAATAATAAATTATAATGCATAGGTTATTTGTGAAGAATTGATGTATGTCTGATACTGATTCTTAATATTTATAAGTAGTCATATATAGACTATAGCTCTCCAAGTAACAATTCTTTTTAATATATTTTAGTAATATTTTACAATTCCCTCCATACATTTAGATTTTCAAAGTAGATACTTTTAGTTTTTTATTACTTTTAGGAACAAGCTTTATTGCACTTGTTACTTTTGATATTATTTTTAATAGTATATTTTATATTACATTCTCTAATGGTTCATTGTAGGTACCTTGGAAATCTATTGCTATTTGCATAATGCTCTTTTATATAGTAACCTTACTGAGCTCTTATTTGTTCTAATAATTTATGTGTATATTCTCTAAGCAGATTACTCTTGGATTTGTTAATAATAGATGTTGATGCCTCTTTTCTTTTTCTTCTCTTATGTCATTGCCTAGAACCACCAGTACAATGCTTGAATGTTGGTAGAAGCACTAAATATCCTTGTTTTGATTGGACCTAAGTGAGAATTCGTTACTGTATCAGTGTAAAATATAATATTTGTTACAGGTTTTTGAAAGTTTCCTCTTACCAAGTTATCAACAGTCTCTCCTAGTTCTAGCTTGCTAAGATTTTTTTCAGTGATGATTAAGCATTGACTGTCATCTACAGTTATTTAAGGGATTATATGTTTTTCCATTTTAAAATCTGTTAACATGGCCGGGCGCGGTGGCTCACGCCTGTAATCCCAGCACTTTGGGAGGCCGAGGCGGGTGGATCATGAGGTCAGGAGATCGAGACCATCCTGGCTAACAAGGTGAAACCCCGTCTCTACTAAAAATACAAAAAATTAGCCGGGCGCGGTGGCGGGCGCCTGTAGTCCCAGCTACTCGGGGGGCTGAGGCAGGAGAATGGCGTGAACCCGGGAAGCGGAGCTTGCAGTGAGCCGAGATTGCGCCACTGCAGTCCGCAGTCCGGCCTGGGCGACAGAGCGAGACTCCGTCTCAAAAAAAAAAAAAAAAAAAAAAATCTGTTAACATTTGGTAATAATATTAACCATTATTTTCTTGCTTAATTATTTTCCATTCTTTTTGAAAATGTCATAATTTTAATATTCTAATAGATTCAGTTTATTGGAGCTTATTAATTTTTGCATCTAATTTTAGTGGGAATATCTAATTATTTAAAAATGTATAAGCCTTTCAGTTTGACTTTTTGCTTAAAATATAAATTACTTGATCCTTCATAGATTTGTAAAACTGTTTCTTTTGGGAAGGTAGCAGGAGATTTTTGATATCTGATCTTTTTAATTTTTTTCTTTTTTCCCTTTTAATATTTTATAACATATATTTTCTATGTATTACTAATTAAATACTGGTAATTTTAAACAATTTGTTCATTGTATGAAGTTTTAAAAATGTATTGAAACTAAATCATTAAATATACTTTCCTGTTTTATTTTAGTATTTACTATGTCTGTCCCACTGTAATGAACCTTCTTTTCTTTTCCTGATGAACATTATGGGAGATACGTCTATTATATTTGTATTTCAAAGTGCCAGTTTTGAATTTGTTGGTTATCTATATGTTTTTGCTAATTCCAGTCTGTTCTTAAGTTTATTATTTTCTTCCTTTTACTATCTTTAAATTTTCAAATTGCAAGTTGAGAAATTTGAAAATTTATTTCAATCTTTTTTGTTATAAAATGAATACCTTTATAGCTATACATTTATCTTTAAGTACCATCTTTGTGGCAATACATACTTTTTTTAATGTGTAATGTATTTATTGTTGTCTATGAGTAAATATTTTATAATATCTAAACTTTTAACTGCCTTAGCTCACAGTTTATTTCATAGTATGTACATTAAATAAATATTAAACAATAAATTAGTAAAATATTAAATTAATAAGAAATACATGTATACATTTCCTTTCCTAATTTTACTGGATTTTTAGAAACTATCTTTTCAGTATCAATTTTTATGTTAATGTCATCAGTTCAGATATTGTGATGAATGTGTTATTGATTCTTTAGAGTTCTTAGTTTCATGGAGCATGATGAAAAAAATCACAGGTTAACTTATTTTTCTTTTTGAAAACCAACAAGTTATGACACATATATATACTCCTGTAATTACAATCAAGATAGAAATATGTCTTCCATCACTGAAATTTTTCTCATCCCTCTTTGCAGGCAATATTTCCCAAGCCCAGAGTAGCAATACTGCTGTTTTGCATTTTTTCACTATAGATTACTCTTGTTTTCTTAGAACATCATGCAAATGAAATTAGTTATTCTGTGCTTTTTCAGCATGAATTATTTGGCCAATTCTTTTGAGATTCATTCACGTTATTTGTACTTATTATTAATTCATTTCTCATATTACTGAATATTATTCTGTTATATGAATATATTTAAATTTGTTTATTCCTCTAAGGATGGGTATTTAAGTGATTTCCAGCTTTTGGCTGTTATAAATAAATCTCAAAACATTCACCTTTTTTGCAGATGTACTTTTTATTTACATAGTGTGTATAACTAATGAGTGAAATTTCTGGGAAATACAGTTAGTGTTTGGGTGACTTTATGAGAAACTGCCAAACTAGAACTGTGCTTGGCACACATAGAACTGTGTTCTAATGTGGTTAAATCATTTTATATTTTTCAAAACTGCTCTAATTCCTCACGAATACTTGATATTTTCTTAGGCTTTTAATAGGGTGATCTGGAAAGACTTAGCTGAACAAAAATTGAGGCTATACTTGAAGTAGATGAAGGAGTTTTCATGTGGGTATCATGGGGGAGAGCTTTGCAGGCAAAGAGAACAGCCACTGCAAAGACCTGGGATCTAAGGAGGAGTCCAGTCTGACTGGGGTGGAGAGAACTCACTGAGGGAAAGCAAGGTAACAGAGAGGTCAAACTTTGTAGGACATAGGGAGAACTTTGGCTTAGGAGTGAAAACAGTAACTATTAAAACATTTGAGAAGAAGTGGAAGTATCAATCTGGCTGAGGTATTGAGAAAAAATTATGGGAATGCGCAGGATGGGACAGGGAGACAGTTAGAGGCTACTGCAGTGATCCAGCAAGAAAAAATCGTGGCTGGGACTAAAGTGGGTATGATGGCGATGCTGAGAAATGGTAGGATTTTAAAGATATCTGAAGGTAGAACCAGCAAAATAGCCTAGTAGAACTGAATGTTGAATGTGAGAGAAAGAAAAGAAGCAAGAATGATCCAAGATTTTACCCTGAATGACTGATTTGCCATCAACTGAGACAGGTAGAGCAAGTTTGAGGGGGAATATCAGGAGACCTGTTTCAGAAAGGTTTAGTTGGATACGTCTATTAGAAAGAAATCCAAGTGGCTAGGGTGAGTAGGTATTGCATTTATGAGTCTAAAGTTCAGGAAAGAGGTTCTAGATGGTGGATTTATTGTGCATAAATACTGTTAAAAACCATAAAACTACTTTACTATTTCATTCTGTGATCAACAAGTTTAGTCTTTGTTTGGTTTTTCTTTTTAACATCACATTTTGGAATCCTTCCAGTTTTCATGCCGCTTCATAGAAATATGCACACTGTTGGGTAATTTATCAGCAGTTACATCTGTTGACATTCCAGCTGTTCCTCATGGTATCTTCCTCTCTCTCAAAATCAGAAAACCAAGAATAAAATGACACCTGACAACCTTGCCAGCTCAGCACATCTGGAGGCACTAAATGTCTGACCCAGGAAATGTGCATCAAACTGACGGGTGAGAAAGTACTTAAGAAACCATTATAATTTTCAATTTTTGAAGGTTTTAAAAATAATTAGAAAAATGAATTTAAATGAATTATATTTTTAGATGATTAAAACATTTCCTCCAACCATGGGTTCTTTGAGACAACTTAACCATTTTGCATCTAGTGCTCTAGAGAACATTTTAGTACTTAGAAAAAACATCACATACTTTAAAATATGTATAATGTTTAAACATAGAACAGTATTTTTACTGATCATGTCTGAAGCAATACTAACAATGAAAGCTAAATTTAGTTAACCATCCAACATAAACAAAAAAATATTTTCTGCCATATTCTAGGAGACTTAAATTTTAAAGTATTCATATATAACTTCCTCAGTAGTGTTATTCCAGGCTTGTCGTGTAAAGTTGTGTAAAGTTGATGATGCTGAAGTCTTGGTGACATCATTTTTTCAGCTTTCTTCACTTGTTTAGAGTTGGAGGGAACTGGCTATAGCAAGATGACTTGAGATTTCTTTGCTGTTCAGTTATACCTTGCTGGGCTTTTCTTGTGTTCAAAAACAAACTGTAGTTAGTAATCGATAGTTGGTTTTGGTATTCAGGCAACAACGTATATGTTCTTTTGTGCCCTATGTACTTGAAATAACATTCTCAAATTCCTTTCTAATCAATTAAAGGTGGATACAGACCCTTGTTACATGATTTGTGATGTATAAAGTAAACCTCTTTTAATAAAAGCGAGGCAATGTGCTTCCTTTGGCAACAACTGTGTACGGACATCCACCAAAAGCCTGGTACTATATTTTTAACATGTAACTTAGTGTTCTCATTTTTAATATAATTTCAGTATTTGTTTTTATAATGGCTGATGGAAAGCTTGGAAATGGAGATGTTAATTTAGTTTCCCGTCATCGCTTGTGTTCTCTTGCAGAATACACCAAAACATATGTTCATGTTTGTGAAGAAGCTTATGTTTTTGTTTGCTTTTACTCTTTATTTTGTAATAAATATGAGTTCCACAAGAAGTTGCAAGGTAGCACGTGCATCCCTTCATCCAATTTCATCCAGCCATTACATCCTACAGAATTATAGTATAATTCAGAAACCAGGAATTTGATGTTGGGTTAATGCGCGTGATCATTCTACTGTTCTATGCCATTTTATCACATGTAGATTTGTGTAACCACCAATATACATTTTTATATGATATAGTAAAATAATTTTCTAAGTTAAAGGTGTCAATACTCATACATATAAACGAGGGCTGTCCCTCCAGATAATTACCTTAAAACACTATGTATTTCTTTCAGATATGGAAATTGTGCTCAAAATGTTTTTGAAGGTCTCTTCTTTTGCAATGGTGCATCTAATTTGTTTGCAAAACACAAAAGAAACCTACCTAGTTCATTAATTCTTCCCTGAAATCTTACTGTATTCCCCTTTTACAGTTGCTGTCTCATTCTCTGTTTTCACTATGCTAGATTCCCAATTCTTGTTTTAAACCTAAGACTTTCCCATTGCCTACTTCACTGCTGGCAAACTGCTTTGCCTCCAAATTTACTGAGAAAATAAGACTCTCAGATATGAGATTTTTGACTTCTCAGCAATCACTGCTACAATGGAAGAGTCTACATCCTATCCAAAACCCTTCCTTCCACCTTCCACTTCCTCCTATGACATGGTAGATGAGAGAAAGATTCAGAGGACTTTCCTTCTGGAGAAGAGTCCCTGATGGTATCCCCTTACCTTGCAAGGCTGATCTCTGTAAATTTTGCAGTCCCTTCCATTCCCTACTCAAACCTAAAGCATCCTGTTCTTGCTTGGCCAAAAATAATTACTCTGCTTGAAGTTAAAAGGAGGTGAGGCCAGAGAAACAGTAGGGAAGCTTTTAATTGTAACTCTTTTCATTGTAAAATGGGGTATACATCAAAATGGAAATCTGTATGAGATTGTGTATGGAGGACTATTTTTACCAGATCTTGCAGCTCTGGCCATGTGTGGGCCAGCATGTGGTTCCCTGGCTTTAGAGGTGAAAAGTACATATCATGTTCTTCTGGAGAGTGACCCAAGTTTAGTCAAGACAAAACTGCACTGGAGTCTTTCCTCATCGAATCACTTGAGCAGAATGTTCATTCATAATATTAGTGCAAAAGTGATCAGTGTATAGTTTATGGCTGCCAAAAAAAGCCTCTCAGACATAATGCTGAACATCCAGTTTGTTTTATTAATATTTGAATGGATATATTTCTGGGTGAAATATACATTTTCAGTGAATAGACATTTTAAGCCATATTTGAATGTGTTTCACCTTGCAGCTTGAATATTTCCATTGTGTCATGAGTATGGCATATTTCAATATTTTAAACAACCGAAGACAGAAAACAGAATATTTGATTTGTGTGAACCTGTTGTGTGTATACAGTGTTTTCTTAGAGAAAGTGTGCTGATTTTTGTGACCCAATTAGAAATACGCGGAAATAGTCAAAAATCATTTGGACAGTCAGTGAACCCAAGGGTCTGTAAGTTTTAGCAAAGCTGATCCAGTACTAGTGCTTGCTTCCAGACTGCCCCCGTTTCCTAAGCAAGTGGTGTTCAAAATTTTAAGCGACCTCAGGCTAAAACCTGTTAAATCCATTGTCAGTTCATTTGCAAATTCTTCTCTCTTCCTAACCTGAAAATGTTTGAATTTGCTAATCCATGTAGTCAGCAGTTGACTGTGGAATTTTTGCTTACCCTAGGCAAACTGTAAATTGCCTACTCTTTCCAAATCCCAGTCTTTGACTCACACACCGGTCATTTTGCATTTCGTTCCCAGTAATGTTTTGTGTTTGGAGGGTGGCCACCTGCTCTGCCTCTGTGGTAAAGTCAGACTTGCGTTTAGAACATGCACAGATTTAAGATCAATTACCATTTTATCCAAACTCTGCTGTAAGACTCCGATGAAATTGTGGTTCAAATTAGTCAGTGAACCACCTATTTAGAGGTTGTTAGAGTGCTGATGCAGTGACAAACATCATTTCTTCTCAAGCTCCTCAGAGACATCATAATGAAGTTTCCTGGTTGGAGTAGTGTAGGAAATCTCTTTTGTGGTGTTTAGAAAAGATAATGTTGCAGGTGCCAATACACACAAATGGAGTTCAAATCCTGTTGTCTCTAAATAAGCAAAAAATGGAAGAATAGATTGTATTAAAATAATTCCCTTGTTCACAATCATCTATTGCACCTGCTGAGTTAATGTTGTCTATTAACATCCCAAAGTAATGAGTATTTTCATAAAGGCATGATATAACCTCATACAGTTAATACTAACCTCATACAGTTAATACTAACTTGGTTGATAAATACTGTTTTTGTTTGGTTGGTTTCTTTAGCATCTATCATCACCCTTATCAAACCTGTTGGTCTATGTCACCTCTGATCTTACTGTCTCTTGAATATCATGACATAATGTAAGAATTCAGAGAAATGGTCATTGCTTTTGGACACTCATGACATTGAATTTTGCATAGTTTAAGAAAAGGGGATTTTAAACACAATCTGTGTTGAGCAGTAGGGAACCAATACTCTAGTAATAATAATAATGATGATAATAATAATAATAATAATTTCTTAAAGACCAGAAATACCTTATCCTGATCTAAACATCTGTAGGTGAACAATACAATAAAACCTTTGGCCAATGCAGTAAAAATATCTCCTAAATAGGCTCTCTGCTTCTACTATTTCTTCCCTATTATGTAATCTCAGCAGAGTAGCAAATGTGATTCTTTTAACACATTAGTCAGATCATCTAACCCTGCTACTGGACCGTGACTCTACATTTCACCCAGAATTAAAGCAAAGTTCTCAAATGCCCTACATGAGGCTTTTTGAGGTGGCCTCTCCACTGTTTTTCTGGACTCACCTCCCATTCTTCTTCCCTTTATGAACTTTCTATGGTTTTAGGATACTTGCATTGACTTCTCTGCTCGGGATGTTCCTCCCCTCTGTGTTTGCACGGCAACCCCTCCAAGTCCTTCAAGTCTTTGTTCACCTCTTAATGGAAAATATCTAGTTAAGCTACTTAAAATTAGAACACCCAACCCCACCTTGAGATGCCTGTTTCCCCTTACACTATTCTCTTTTTTTTTTTTTCCTTTAGCTCTTATCATTTTCTAACATACTATGTAAGTATTTGGCATATTATTTTATTGTCAAGAATTTTCAAGCTTTTACTCCACTTGCAAGCCAACAAATGAAACTAACACAATTTCATGGATGCTGGCAGAAAATATAAAACTAGGTGTATTAGTCAATGTTCTCTTAGAGGGACAGAACTAATAGGATATATATATTTAAAGGGGAGTTTATTAAGTATTCAGTTACACCATCACAAGATCCCACAGCAGGCTGTCTGCAAGCTGAAGATCAAGGAGAGCCAGTTCAAGTCCCAAAACTGAGGAACTTGGAATCCGATGTTCCAGGGCAGGAAGCATCCAGCAGGGAGAAAGGTATAGGCTGGGAGGGTAGGCCTGTCTCTCTTTTTCATGTTTTTCTGCCTGCTTTATATTCACTGGAAGCTGATTAGATTGTGTCTACCAGATTAAGGGTGGATCTGCCTTCCCCAGCCCACTGACTTAAATGTTAATCTCTTTTGGCAACACCCTCACAGACACACCCACGATTGATTAATACTTTGTATCCCTCAATCCAATCAAGTTGACACTCAGGATTAATCATCACACTAGGTCAGAGACAAAAGATCTTATTATGTATGACACAGCAAGCTGAATGGACATCACCATGTTTGCATCAGTTTCCCTTGTCTCAAGTAGCATGGGGGCAAGGTGGGTGGGCCCAGAGGGATGCCTGTACTCCCACAGTATTGCCCTATTACAGGAGACAAACTCTGAGCTTAGGAAACCTGATTCTTTTGCAGCAGGCAATAAATATTCCCCCTCTGGAGGGAGATACTATCTATCTTCCAAGGCTGTTCACTGTACAATTATTCTTATACAATTGGCCAGAAAAAGGGCAGTCAGTGCCTTGCTAGCAAGGTGTGCACATGAAAGACCCATGAAGAATTGTCTCCCAACAATAATGTTTACTGTTTATCATACATGCCTCTCACAGTGTACATTTCCTAAGAGAGAGAGTTTATTTGTTCATTGATAGACTCAAAAAGCATGAAAAATGATCTTGGACTTTGTTTTATCAATCCACAATTTCCAAATCTGTTACCTTGTCCCTTGGTGACTTTAGCCAGAGTAATCTTTATCAGTATTAATTTTTTCCACCATAAAATAGGACTAGTGAGTAATGCCTCTCTAACGCATTGTGGGGAGAATTTAATGTAAGGTGTCATTAAGTGCTGGGAGTCTCCAAGGCTCAGACATAGATGAGATGTGGAATTTCATATTTACTCTCACGTTAACTTCTGCCAAATGTGATGACTCAAATTTATATCGCTAGCCCGAACTTCTTCCCTAATCTTAGTCCCATATATCCTATCTGACTTCATAGGCATATGCACCAAAACTGAATTCATGTTGTCTTCCCAATTTGGGTCCTCTTCTAGGATTCCTTAACTCAGTAAGTGACTCTTTCATCTACTAATTTACGCAAGCCATAATCCGTGAGTCCTCTGACTCTTCCTTGTCCCTCGACCCATCCCACCCTCATGTCTAACGCTCAGCACCTCTTCTTAATTTCAACTCTTAAATATCTTTGAACTCTATCCATTTTTTTTTTCTATTTCTACTGATGGAAAGTTGAATCAATGCTAGTGAATCCGAACTGTTTCAGACCAGCACCTTTTTTTTATAGCAGATGTTTTGTAATGCATCCTTTAATATATTAAAAAGGAAATGCATAAATGATATAAGCAAACTTACATATACAATTTCAAAACGAAACCAAAATATTTAGCTGTAATATGAAATATGCACATAAAGAAAATAACTTACATTAAATTAGTATGTATTGCAGTGTGAAAATATCAGGCTTGGCTAGACCGGAAGACTTAACAACAAGAGGGTTCTACCTACATAAATAATCTGTGTGAATTTGACAGCTACAAAGGCACACAGGTCGACTGTATTAGACTCAGATGGCATCACCTTCAGTGGTATGATTTTCCAAAATGGCAAAAACACTTAGTAATTTCCCAAACTGAAGTATTAGGTTGGTGGAAAAGTAATTGCAGTTTTTGTTATTAAAAGTAATGGCAAAAACTGCACCTGCCTGATATAATCATCTCTCCACTCACATAGTGGGTGCACATTCCTTGAAAATTCAACGTGTTCATAAATCACATAAAAATTCTGTGTTTGTATGTAAAGGTAACTAGGTTATAGGCAATTTTTTTACTTTTATTTAAGTCTCTGCTTTTGAGTGAAACATTCTAAACTTTGTGAGACACAGACAATTCTCCCTTTAAGTTTGAATGTCTTGCACATTGCAAAATATGCCCAAGAGGCCTGGACCTCAGCAAACAATAAGGGCCATAGCCACTCCTCTGAAAAAAAAACAAACAGAACAAAACATTCTTACGAATTTCTAATATTGTCCCTGAGTGGATGCTACTCCCATTGAGAACTATGGCTGTGGACTAAACTATTTGTATTCATACCTCATTAACCTCCTAACAATCTTTTGTTTCCCTCTTATTTCCATTAATTTATTCTCTACTTTAGTCAAAGCTGTTTACCAAATCCAACTTGATTATGCCACCTGGGTTAGTTTGAGTTCTCCGGACAAACAGAACAAATAGAAGATGAGAGAGAGAGAAAGAGAAAGGAAAAGAGAGAGAGAGAGAAAGAGAGATGTAGATATATAAAAAGAGGTTTATTATTAAAAATAGTTTATGTGATTATGTAGGCTGAGAAGACCTAATATCTGCAGCCAGTAAGCTGGAGACCAGGAGAGCTGATGGTGTAGCTCCATTCCAAAAGCCAGCAGGCTCCAGGATCCAGAAGATCTCATGTTTCAGTTCAAGTCTGAAGGCAGGAAAAGACCAATGTCTTAGCTCAAAGCAATCAAGAAGAGAAGCCTCCTCTTACTTATAACAAGGACTTGCCTGCATTAGAGAGGGCAATCTGATTTACTCAGTCTACCAATTCAAATAATAGTCTCATCCAAAACACCGTTAAAGACACACCCAGAATAACATTGAACCAAATATCTAGGCACTCCATGGCTCAGTCAACACATAAAATTTACCATCACACCACCCATTACACAAATCCTTTTATTGTCTTTTCTTTCTCTCGAGACACAAAAATATGTGTGTGACTTTTAAGGGCTTATAAGACTCCCATCTGCTTTCAAGCCATATTGTATCATATTTCATATTCCTCTGTGTGCCTTAGCCACACTGACCTAATTATTCTGCAGATCTATGTGCTCTGATCCTTCACACAAGAGGGCCTTGTGCATATTTATTTCCTCAATATACTCTTCCTACCACGAAAACTTTCCAAGGTAAGGCCTAATTATAGCTTCTCTCTTTAGAAACTTTAGCTTTTCTGCTTAGCAGTGATAATGGCCTTTCAGGAAATTGTATTTTAAACTTTTCTGTATGGCGAGGGTGACATAAAAATGTTCAGCAAGTATGGCATGGGGAACAACCAGTCAAAATGCATGCCAGCCCCTGAATCAATGTCCTACAGATTCCAAGGCATTCATTATTGGATTGTGGTCTGTTCTAGATTGGGATGATCTAGAATATTCCTGGGGGGAGAACAGGGTAGCTAACAGTTAAGCCTTAAGAGAATCAGTACAACTGTTGAAAGTACCCCCAAATTACTCTATTATTATTATTACTATTATTACTTGCTATCTGTTACATGCCAGTATTTACACTTAGATGGAGTTTATGTATAGATTTTGGCAGTACTCTCAAGCAACCCCACTCTTGATTATAGAACAGGGGTGTCCAATCTTTTGGCTTCCCTGGGTCACATTGGAAGAAGAATAATTGTCTTTGGCCACACATTAAATACACTAACACTAGCAATAGCCGATGAGCTAAAAAAAAAAATCACAACCAAATCTCATAATGTTTTAAAAAAGTTTATGAATTTGTATTAGGCCACATTCAAAGCCGTCCTAGGCTGCATGTGACCCACGGGCCATGGACAAGCTTGTTATAGAACGTATAGCCCCATGTCTTCTCCTTCCCTACCTTTTCCACAAGTATAATTTTAATTTAACTGGTAAGACAATTTGATTGAACATTCTATTGCAAGACTGTAAATTCAGTGAGAGGAAGGACTATATATATTTTTGTTCACCAGTGTACATTTAATATTAGGCTTTATGTCTTCACCCAAATCTCATCTTGAATTGTTATTCCCATAATCCTCATAATCCCCATGTGTCAAGGGAGAGACCAGGTTGAGGTAATTGAATCATGGGGGTAATTGAGTCATGGGTAATTTCGCCCCATGCTGTTCTCATGATAGTGAGTGAATTCTCAGGAGATCTGATGGTTTTATAAGGGGCCCTTCCCCCTTTGCTTGACACTTCTCCTTCCACACCTTGTGAAAAAGGTGCTTCACTTCCCCTTCACCTTCCACCATGATTGTAAGTTTCCTGAGGCCTCCCAGCCATGCAAAACTGTGAGTCAATTAAACCTCTTTCCTATATAAACTACCCAGCCTCAGACAGTACTTTATAGTAGTGTGAAAATGGACTAATAGAATAACCTCTCCCAAAAATACGTGGTGCATACTGAAGTCAATAGATATTTACTGAAAGTATGAATGTTAATGCCTTTCATGTAGTTACAGTATGCAACATATCTTAATTTCCTCTTTTCCTTCCTTTTTACCTCCAAGAACAAAAAAGTATATATTTTGGACACCCGTGTTCTCTAATAAAGTATTCCAAGAATGGGGTTGCTTAAGAGTACTGTCAAAATCTATTTGTAAGCTTCATCTAAGTGTAAATATTAGCATGTAACAGATAGTAAGTAATAATAAGTGTGTATGTTAAATACTAAATAAGTATATATGTATAAATAACACTAAGTATTACTAAATAAGTATATATGTATAAATAACACTAAGTATATATATGTATACTATTTAGTATGTATACTATTCAGTGTCTATATATATATATACACACACACTATTATATATAGATATATATTCTCTAGATAGATAAATACTTATTTCAGTCAATACATATCAATAATTTGCACTACCTGAAAGTTTTAGGAGCAAAAATCAAATTACATAGTGAATCTTGGAATTTCCCTTTCTAATTCTAATGTGCCTAAAATAGAACATGAAATGGGAGACTTATTTTCTTGATATAATTGCTTCCATTTTCTTATCCTTAGCTTTGGGTAAACTCAGTACAGACCTCAACTCTTGTTTTCTCTCTCATGCCAGGAGTTGGGTCTTCTGTTACACCAAATGCATTGCCAACCTCATGCTCACTCCTAGGAGATTCATCGAGGAGGAGATGGAAACATAGGTTTCCGTGACTTTAGGGACTTAGATGAGGAAAATATTTCTAAAGAAAATAAAAATAAATTGTGATGCCTCGAATCAAAATGAATTAAGAGACCACAAACTAAGACAAATGCTGATGATAAAGCGTCATGGCTGGTATTTAAGTGTCATTTATACACCTTTAAACTTCAAAATTTCCAAAACAAAGCACTTTTTCTTGTACTGATGATCTAGTCTGTTCAACATTTCATGTAGTTTATGCCTCTGTGAAATTAAATATAATTTGTTTATGGAAACAGAATGAAAACCTAAATTCAAAGCACATTTAAAAAATCAACCTCATTAATTTGGGTCACACGCTCACTGACCCCCAGCACATCAACTCTACCATTCTTTGTGCTTTTCCTGTAAACCTAAAAATATGTTCAGATGAGATCACAAATAAGGGTAGTGAGAAAATATTTAGGTTTATTAGCCAATATGGTTTTTCCACTATTTCTGCACCTCTCATTTTTCCCAACCTCTGCCTCACCCTGACCCCAACCAATTACAACACAGGCATTCTGCCAGCATTGCCTTAGGAGAGGTATCATGCTGAAGGCTGCAACAAAAAAGTTCTGGCTTTTGAATTTCAAAAACAGTAACAAAAAAAAAAAAAACCTATTACCCAGGAACAAAGTAGATTTGAAAGGATGCAAGAATACAAAATCGGAATAATGTTTTGTAATCTCTAGAGTCTAGATAAAATTTTCTGAATAAGAAGAAGGAGAGAAAGAGTAGGAGGAAAAAGAGAAATGGAAAAAAAGGTATAAAAAAGTCCCTGTACCTTACCTCTCTCCCCAAGCTCACTCTCCCCAAAGATTAGAATTCTTGGATTGGTATGGAAATAAAAGCACACACAAAGTGTGTCTACCAGCCACACAGAACATTCTAAGAAACTGGCAAGTTCCATATGTTATCTGAAGGATTTCCTGTTCACCCTAGAAGAGCAAAAAATTGTTAAAGAACCTTTGATGGCCCTGAGAGCTCACAGTGTTTCGCAGGTCCCAGTCTACTAAATGAAAGCAGCTAAGCGTTCCCAATGCCTGATAGGTGGATGGTAGCAGTTGTCAGAGAGCTGGAACTGGAGAACTGCTATAGCCCGAAGCAAGGGATATATCCTCAGGTCCCTGCATGGTTGTAGTCTAGGGAGGAGATGAGATGAAATACGGCTGAAAAGACAGCCTGCAATGATGATCACCAAGAATCAGATGCCTCTAACCCCCAAGCATGGCACCATGAAAGCCCCTGGAATTTAGATGCCATGCCGAGAAAGTGGAAGTAGATAAAGTAGTTTGTTGACCATAGTTTATTTTCCCACCAAAGAAGAAGTGGGCACAAAGTAGAAGTTAAGCTAATGTATGGAGAAATTAAAATATATTACTCTTACACCACAGAACTTTTAGCAGTTTGATTTCAAGGCCTTAGAAAATGACTTAAAAAGACCACTGTCTCAGTTATGAACTTATTCTGGATGAAGATACCAAGATTTATGAAGATGAGCCATGATTCATCTAGGACTTTACTATAATGAGTCATGATAACAGGTAATACAAAATAAAATAAAATAAAAAGCTGAAGCAGAGAAAAGTTGACAGGATACATCATAGTTCCATGTGATCATTATGCTCTATTTGCTGAGGCTTCTAGACAGTTCCATTACAGATGGGACATAGGCACCTATGGTGTCCTGGCATTCTTATAATCACTGTTTTGGGAAGTCCATAGGATTGAAGAGCCAAGAGCCAAGGAAACAGAAGGCAACTAAGTAGGCAGTGCCTTCTATAAGTCCAAAAATAATACATGCCAGGCACATTAAAAGGACATGAATCCATCTTTGACAAAAACAAAAATAAAATTATAAGTTAACGAAGAGGCAAAGCCAAGACTAAAACAAATTATGTGAAGGTGCAGGGCCATTTCCTTGCTTCCATCTCACCCACGTATTCTGAGTTTTCCTGGGGAGGAGTGGGTGATGTAGCCTCTATACCTTCTGCCACCAGTTAGCCCCTGCCCTTCTGAGTCCATTGCCACCAAGGGCCACTGACTCACAGTTCTAAGCTTGTTGGAACTTCAAATTCCTTGTATTTCCCCACCCTGTGCTTCAAACTGCATGCAGTTTTACGTAGCCCTTGAGTTCCAGAATGATTGATCTGGAAGGGAGAGACGAAGTAATTTTCATGAAGTCTGATCTTTAGCTAACTTACCCTGAGCTGGGTTTCCTCATGGTCCACTGCTCTTTCCTGTAGGGACAGAGAAAAGGTGATTCTGGGAATTACCATACAAACAATTCAACTACATAGAAGCCACAGGGTAGGGAATGTAAGGGTGAAGCAGGGCACATAAAGTATCAGAAATTAGTGATTAAAAATCCCTCTTTGTGCATAGTACTAGTTAATGCATATAATAATTTGGAAAACATCGTTGGGATTCTGATCAAGAGGTCGATTATAGCCTATCACCTTATATTTATGCCACTCCTTCAGAATGGAGGACAGTTTCCTTCCTGAATAAGGCTAATGGGATGACTCTTAGAAATATCTTCCATACCCGTAAAAGCAGTCTCCTAATAATTGATGTATTTCAGTGTTTCTTCAAGTGTGTTTTCTAGAACCACTAGTTCAGTCACCTGAAGTGCTTGTTCAAAAGGTGGATGTAAAACTCGAGCCCAAATCTACTGAATTAGTAGAGACGGATTGAAGTTGAGAGCTGGAACTGGAAACCAAGGAATCTCTGCTTTTTTAAGCAACCCACTTCTGCCCACTAAAGGTTAAGAACGGCTTTTCTAGCCCTTCAAAAACCTTGGCATCATAAACATGGTTTCCTAGCACAGGCATGGGCCGAGTCAAAGTGAGCTGTAGTTTCTTTTGGTGTGAAATGCCTGTGAGTTTCATTAGGGTGAATTGGCCCTCTGGGATTCTGCCCCTTTGGGTGAGCTGAGATTACAGAATTGATTAGCAGCCAAGGGAACAGACTGAGCCTCCGGATCCCGCTGAATAAGCCGCAGCCATGTGTGCAACGCTGAATGTATGGTCCTATGAAATTTATGGCCAACTCTGTTTATAATCTTGTGGCATATGCCTCTGTAGTGTTTGTTTATAAAGGGCCAAGGCTGGGTGTGTTATGCATCTCAAATGATATACTGTAGAGTTTCCCAGGATAAATGAAATATGTCCATTTTGTCCCATCTGGATCTTGTTATTTTTTTTTTTCCATGATTAGCGTTTTGGCAGTTTCCACTCTTCCATTCTGCTGTTCTATGTGCCCAGGGGAGATGAAGAGTTGAGCTCTTTCCAAAATCAGGGTAGTGCTGTGTGGAGAAAAACTACAGCTGAAAGGGCACTTTCTTTACGGTAGATTCTCCACACTCGGCAGAGGAAGCACAGGTTTCAAATATGATTAGTGGACAGTGAAAGCACCATGAGATCAAGGCTCGCGTGAGTCACAAAGTGTGGAAATGTTCTTACCAGATGATCATCAGGATACCGGAGATTTGCTGTCCCCAAGAACCAGCTGAGCTTGTGAAATTTTCCACGTACAGTTTCGCTGAGCTGCAGAAGGCGGCCCTGTTCTCAGCTCTGAATTTAGTCTGCTGGAGATAAAAATGGGGTCATGATGTTCATTTGACACCTTGTTAATTTATGCTACAGCAAAACCAAAGCAAAACAAAATTCACTTGTATGCAGTAATGTGGCTTAAAATAATGCTAAAACAGCCCCAAGATCTGTTTTTCATTTTGGGTGAGTTACTGAGGTAGGACTTAGAAACAAAACGGTCTGCAAGGGCAAAGGTCTTTTTTTTTTTTCACTTGTGTAATAGTCAGAACTAACCTAGAAATCAGGGCTGTGATGTCCTCATGGATTTGCACTGAAAAGAAAATCACCTATGGTTATTTTTCCTTTTTATTTAAACAAAAATGACTTATAATAATTGATATTTTTAGGTGAGAACTTAGACTTAAAATAGCTTGCCATTTTATTTCACACAGCATATTTCCACTCATTTTTATTCATGTTTATAAACTCTCACTTGCATTATGGTGATTCATTTTATATGCGTAAAATCAGGAAATTAAAAACAAAGTTGTTATAAATAGGCATTGTATAATAACCAAAGTAAAAGAGAAAAATTAAAAAATAGCCTTTAGGAGTTTTGATTAAGAATTAATGTGCCAGATGTCAGGTACTGGAATACATTTATTATTTTCATGTTGTTGCAATTAAATATTATATATAACATAAATACTTAATAAATTTTTGATATACCTTGAGAGGTGCTGCCACTTCAAATGATGAAATGAAGCATTTTCTTCAAAACAAAACCTAAAATCTTTCAGTGAAAACATTGTTCTGATTATTATATTTATATTGTTTCAGTGGTTACTGACTCCTCCATTGGTGCAAATGACTCTGTCTATATTCATTTATTTTTCCATCTATATCTACATCTATTCAGCTAGCTAATATATATTTCATAATATATTGCCAGCTTATGTATACATTCAAAAGAGTAGTTTCCCCTTCCCATTTTCTGCCTTGCAGAAATAATACTAAGTTATATTACTTCTAGATCAGACACAGCTTCAGCTCCTGTGACAATTCATCCAAAGCCAAGAAAAACATAAAAACACACAGCTGCATCTCTTCACATCTTTCCTTGGTCCCATTCCTTTAGTTTTTAATAGTTGTTATACCTTAAGTTACTGGAGTTTTTTAGCAGTCTCCTGAAAAGCTTGTAAAAAGTCCAGAGACTTACTTGCCATCCTCCAAACAATTCTGATTCAGCAAGCTGGTGCAAGTCAGCCCAGGAATCTGCATAACAAATGACCTCCCAGGTAGTTCAGAGGCAGATGGTCCTGAAATCACACTTTGAGAAATGGTGCTTTAAGACCTGTGAGCTTGTAAAGGAGAGTGAATCACAGGCTTTCCTATTGCACCCCAAAAGTCTTGGAATTGTTTCCCTAGAAGTGAATGCTAGGAAACTATTTCTCAGCTCTCTCTCTGAGGAATGGATATTTGCTGTGCTTCATCAGGCCATGTGGTTTCCTGACAACAGGGGGCACATTTTTTGAGTTTCTACTCCACGCTCACCCCATCCCCATCCTTCTGTCCTCTGACTCCTTGATATTGACCATTACTTGAATCACATGTGAGCTTGCTCTGTCTTTTTTGGACACTGTGTCTACCTATCTGCTTCTCCTTGGGCAGTCAAACTCTGGGGGCTGGTCAGTTCCACCCTGGTTTCTCTTGGTCCACTAGGTGACATAGGCCAGGTTCCAGAGCCCACTTTCTCCAGGCTTGCTGTGTATCCATGATCAACGTGCCTTACAAACTCTCCTCAAGGCTTTGAATATAAACTTTTCATAGCTCTTTGAGATCTTGGGTTAGGAAAAATTAAAGATCTCTTAGATAGGAGACAAAACACAGGAATCACAAAAGAAAAGTTTGCCAAATTGGACTTTACCAAAATTAAAAGGTTCTGCCCTTCGAAAGATGCCATAAACAGAATAAGAAAACCATAAACTGGTAGAAAATATTTATAAAACACCTACGTGCTAAATATAAATAACCTGTTTCCAGAATAAATAATTAATAGCCAATTAATTAATATTTCAATAATAAACAACCAAAATTTTATTTTTATTTCTTAACTTTTATTTTAGGTTCAGTGGTACATGTGAAGGTTTGTTACATAGGTAAACTCATGTCATGGGGGTTTGTTGTACAGATTATTTCATCACCCAGGTATTAAGCCCAGTACTAATACTTATCTTCTCTCCTCTCCCTCCTCCCACCCTCCACCCTCAATAGACCCCAGTGTCTGTTATTTCTTTCTTTGTGTTCGTAAGTTCTCATCATGTAGCTTCCACTTATAAGTGAGAATATTCAGTATTTGGTTTTCTGTTCCTGCATTAGTTTGCTAAGGATAATAGTCTCCAGCTCCATTCATGTTCCCACAAAAGACATTATCTCATTCTTTTTTATGGCTGCATAGTATTCCATGTTGTATATGTACCACATTTTCTTTATCCACTCTGTCATTGATGGGGATTTAGGTTGATTTACACTCACAACAACTGTGTATAAGTATTCTCTTTTCTCTGCAACTTCATCAGCATCTGCTATTTTTTTATTTTTCTATAATGGCCATTCTGATTGGTGTGAGATGATATCTCATTGTAGTTTTGATTTGTATTTCTCTAATGATCAGTGATAGTGAACTTTTTTTTTTCATATGCTTGTTGGCCAAGCTTTTTCATATGCTTGTTGGTCTTCTTTGAAAAGTATCTCTCCAAAAGTCTGTTTGTTCACTGTTTTAATGGGGTTGTGTCTTTCTCTTGTATAATTTAAGTTTCTTATAAATGCTGGATATTACACCTTTGTTGGATACACAGTTTGCAAAAATGTTTTCCCATTCTGTTGGTTGCCTGTTTACTCTGTTGATAGTTCTTTTTGCTGTGCAGAAGCTCTTCGGTTTAATTAGATCCCACTTGTCAATTTTGCTTTTGTTGTGATCATTTTTGGTGTCTTTGTCATGAAATCTTTGCCTGTTATATACAGGGTGGTATTGCCTAGTTTGTCTTCCAGGTTTTTATAGTTTTGGATTTTACATTTAAGTCTTTAATTCATCTTGAATTGATGTTTACATATGGTATAAGGAAGGGGTTCAACGTCAATCTTCTGCATATGGCTAGCCAGTTCTCCCAACACCATTTATTGAATAGGGAGCCTTTTCCCCATTGCTTGATTTTTGTCAGCTTTGTTGAAGATCAGATGGTAGTAGGTGTGCAACCTTATTTCTGAGCTCTCTATTCTGTTCCATCAGTCTAGGTGCCTGTTTTTGTATAAGTTTTTAAAAACAAGCAAAAGATTTGAATAGATGCTTACCAAAAACTCTACATAGATATTAGAAGATGCTCAACATCATTAGTCATTAAGATAATGCAAATTAAAACTGCAATGAGATATTACCTTGCCTATAAGTATTGTAAAATGCAGACAAAAATTTCAAGTATTGCTAAAACTATAGAGCAACAGAAACTTCATGAATTCCTGGTAGCAATGAAAAATAGTACAACCACTTTGGAAAACAGCTTGGCAGTTTCACATCAATTTAAATATATACTTACCATACAACTCAGCAATTAAATTTATTTAAAACAAATGAAAACATATCTCCATACAAAAACTTGTATCCGTATGTTTATAGGAAGTTTGTTCATAATCATTAAAAGCTGGAAATAAATGTCGATTGACTGTGGGAGCGATCAACAAATATTGTTACCTCCATATAAAGGAATACTACTTAGTAATAAGGCAAACTTACCCTCTTGCAAAAAGACTTACGAATTTCAAATGTATCAGGATTAGTGAACAAAGCAAAACCCAAAATGCTGAATGCCGTATAATTCCATTTATATGATATTGTGATGATAACAAAAATATAGGGCCAGGAAGCAGACCACTGGTTGCCAGGGTCTGGGGGTGGAGAGAGGAAACTGATGGAAAGGTAGAGAACAGTGAGGGAATTTTTTTGGTATGAAGGAAATGATGTGTATTTTTATTTGGATGAGCCTGATAATATATATTTGTTAAAATTTATAAAAATGTGTACCTAAAATGATGAGGCATTTTATTGAATTTTTAAATTTTATACCTCAAAAAACTGCCTTCAAACAAATTAAATTTTGTCAAATATGGCAAGAGCAAGATCTTTTCATGGGACACCTCCTGTGACATTTCAGCAAAATAGTGAGCATTCATTTTTCTTCTACATTCTTTACAGATAGATGCATAATTTTTTCAATTAAATTCGTTCCATCTGAAATTCCATAATCTTTAAAATCAAACTCTTCCTGACTTCATAGTAACAGACCATGAATGAGCTGAAAATATCTCCCTTAATAGTTTTTAAGAGTCTGAAATGGGAGAAGGAAATAAACGTTGTGATAATCATATCATTTTAAAAACTTTAATTCCATTCAAGATGACATTCTCTGGGATATCTGGTTTCTACCAGAATCGCATGTATTTCCCTTGCAATAAATTATGGACATTCACATGGAACAGAGGAAGAGGGTTGTGATAAAAAATGAAAGTACAAACAATAGCAAACAAAAAAAACAACACACCACTACCACCACCAACAACCCTATCAGCTTTAAGTCACGGCTAATATTCAACTTACTAAAATGCTTACAGAATCAACCCACTGCTTGCTGACCATGCTCTGGCCACCTGTGGGTGACCAGAAAATTACCTGTAATACAAATAATCCAGCCCGTGCCGTCTAGCACATCATGGAGATTTAGTTTTCACTGAGGATAGAGGGGCCAGCGACTGAGAGCTGAAACACAACACAGATGGGCTCTTTGAAAATCCACTGCATCCTGGATTTTCCAATCTTCAGAACAGATAAAGTTACGTGATGGAGCACCCTTGCTGCAAGGATAATGGGGCCTGTCTGCACAGGCATGGCTTCCCGTGACTTCCTCCCTGAGAATCATAGCATTTCATGAGAAGAACAAATTTGTACAAAAAAAAAATCATCAATTCCATCGCTGACACTATTCAATATTGCAAAATGCAATTGTTTTGTTTATTTCAATAACCTCCAATGAATCCACTAATATCTAATTGAATGAATGCAATAGTCTTACCACCATTTGAGTTTCTAAATACAAAGAAGAAGTGCTTGGAGCTTTGCTGAGGCTTTATTGAAAATTAAATGTCCACAATCATTAATTTAAAATGGATTTAAAGAATGAGTAGGTTATGGATATATCTGTATGAAGGCAACCAGATGGATTAGTACAGCTGCATTTTCAAGCAGAGAAGAAACACAGCATTTCTGATAATCTAATGGAAAGCAGAATGAAGAACCAAAAGATGGGAAAGGTTTGATAGTCTTAATCCCTGTAACCATCACTCACTAATCCAACAATCATTTATAGGATGCTAACTAAGAGCATTGCACTAACTTAAGCCCCTAGGAAAAAAAATGAGAACAACTCATACTTTCTAATATCTCCATAAAAAGTTGTGTGACCTCAGTGAAGATTAAGCACAAGGTACTTAAATTAGGAAAATGCCAGCCACATAAAATTAATAGTTACAATCTAACAAATGAACAATGTCAGTTAGAATTTCAATAGTTAAAACATCGGTGCACTGGAGAGGAAATGAGAGTAACATCTCTTTAATTACATGGAAAATAATATGGAAAGCATGTCATTGGATTAAAATGAAACGAAACTTGTGAAATGTATGCCAGAGATATTTTTAAAGCAAGTTATAACCCATTAATAATGGCTTTTAATTAGAACACACATAAACATGTCAGTGGCATTTGTTTAACGAGATAAACTTTGCAGAGAATTGCTGGAATGTGCCTAATATATTAAGTTTACAGTGTTACAGTGGGCATCTTTACTATGTATCTTTTTAACTACAATAAACAAAACAATTGAAAATAAAGCTCACAAGGAGAGCAGATGTGTATATTCACATCATCCAGTGGAAAACAAAAACCAGGTTTGTATCTTTGTATCTGTTGTCCTGTATTAGTTGTTGTCAAACAATAATTATTGCCAGATAATGTTCAGTTTTTAGCTACCATGACTAAAAATAGTAAGGAAAGAGGTCCAAAAATTATTTTATTTATTGTATATTGTAATTATATTTATATTTTGTATTTTTGCTTCTAAAACAAATGTGTGCAAAATAAAAACAAAAACAGGTTGCAGAGACGTCATTCGCCTGTAATTAAATAAAGTATAATAAATGTTGTAGTTAAGTGAAGTACTAGATTGGTATACTGTTCAGGGATTTGTCAGCTACAGGAGGAGGAGAATAGGAAAAGTGTAGAGAATAGGAATAGAGTTGGGTTTATTTTTATCACCTCTCACTCTGACTTTTATAATGACTTTACTTGAGACTGGATGGGATCAGAGAGAACTCTGACACCAGTGACCTGGCACATATCAGATTCCTAATAAATGTCTGTTAGATTGAAGTGCAAATGTATATGTAGAGAATGATAGATTTGCTATACACCAAAAATGTCAACCAGGCCCAATTGTTTTCAGGAAGAGCCAGAGAAAAACTTGGTATTCATGCACAGCAATAGGCCACATGAAGGAATGCTATTTATGACAATGAAGAAGGAAATCTTGAATTGCAGTATATAAGAAAAACAAAACATGAAACTAGATTCACAACATAACATTATTTCCATATCTGTGAATGGTATGCAGCAGGGAAAACTGAAATAGCTTTACATTTCTTTTATTCAATAAAGTTGCTACCTGCACCACCAAACCTCTTTACATGGTGTTTCGCTGTAGGAAATAGCCTAGAAGTGTATCATTACAACAAAAAACAGAGTAGTTTTAAGTTCAGGGATTGTTCGTGGAATCACTAAATGAGCATCCACAGAAAGAGTGAAAATCAGTCAGTCTTTTTTCTTTCTTTCTTTCTTTCTGCTTTTCTTTTTTGTAAATTTCTTTATGAGAGGTTGTAGGTGCCAGCCTCAAGAGGCAAGCCAGTGCCTTGGCTTTTAATTTTATATTCAAATCAACGATGATATTTGACTTCATATTACAACTCAGAATTCAGTAAATGATTGTGCCCTCTTCTTGAATGGTGTTAATTTATAACCCAAGCGGTAAGTACTTATGCAGATTAATCCTATGGCGGAGTGCGGCAGTAAATCCTAGGAAGAGACATAGCCAAAAGGCCAGGGATTCAAAGTCATTAGCTCTAGAGTCCATGGATTAATGCTAATTTATGAAGAAAAGAAAAAATAAAAATCATAAGCCTTAAAAAGATTAAAAAATTTTTGTAGGGAAGCATTATCATGCAAGCATTTTCAGAAGGTGAGTTCTAAATGAGATTTGGCTGGATACCTACAACCCAAAGAGATATAAAACATCTGGCTAAGGTTTATTTCATTGGATATACTATGCTGGGAAGAGTTACTTCCAATTTTTAAAGAAAGAAAATGATAAAAATATATCAGGTGTACTTTCATTAAACTTTTTTCGCAAGAAGTTCTTTCTTGGTCTGAAGTGATGATGTTTATAGATATTATAGATGTAAAAGCTAAAGTATGTCAGTTGGTTTTTAAACTTTGTTCTCCAAGTGAAATGTGCACCCAGTTTTGTTTAAATGTTTGTATGTTTCAGTAAAACGTGTGTAGAAACTCTTTAACAAGTCGAAGCTTAGACACTAAATGAAAGGCAGTTTGTGAGACGACAAAATAGGATTCACTCTCTTTTACTCAGGTACAGCATCATTTGTGACTTGAAAGAATATAAAAAAGTAAATTGCCTTCAATGCCTCATCTCAGAATGAAATTGCTCCTCATAAGGCACTTAAAAATTTTTTACACTAAGAAAAAACATTTTACGATAATAAACCACAAATCAATTCTATGAATATGCTGACAAAACAGTTACTATCATAAATAGTTCCAAGTATTCAATTAATCTTATTTTCCCTAAAATCCTTACAGCAAGCTGAGTAACAGAACCCAATTGGAATGAAGGAAATCCATTTCTACTGTCCACTTACATATATTAAGCTTGAGGGAAAAAGATCCTTTAAATGTAATGGGATATATACTTTCCTCAATAAGATATCTGTTTTCAATTTTCAGTAAGTATTTCTGATTCTAGTAGAATCTTAAAAGTAAAATAAAGCAAGGAAAAGAGAAAAACGTGTTTTGAATCCTGGTTTCTGCAGGAATTTATATTTTCCATTTAAAAAAATTTTTTGGAGCATTTTATTCGCCATTTATATGTTTCAATAGGAATATAGAAATTCTAGTAAAATAATAGTTACCAGGAGCTGTGAAGGGGAAAGGATTGGAGGGGGCAGGTAAAGGTTGGTGAACAAATACAAAGTTACAGTGATAGACAGAAGGACTAAATTCTGATTTCTAGTTCTATTGCACAGTAGGGTGACTGTGACTATGATTAGCAATATTGTATTTTATACTTCAAAATAGCTCAAAAAAAGAGATTTTGAATGTTCTTACCATAAAGAAATAATACATTTATGAGGCAAGAGATATGATAAACACTCTAATTTGATTAGTACACAATGTATATATGTATCCAAACATCACACTGTACCTCATAAATATGTACAATTATGTACAAATTTAAAACAAAAAATTTAAGTATATAAAATTAAATATAAAAAGAAAATATAAATTCTATTATGGAATTTGTAAAAAAAATAGAAGAGGATGAGATAATCAGGTCAGCCTATTAACACATTTTTCTTTCTAAATATCATTGACTTGATATTGTCACTTTGTGCAAAGGAAGTAATATAGTGTAAAGAACATAAATTGTGGAAGAAGATATGTTCTCATATCTCAGTCATGTCACTTTATAACTGTGATCAGAGACAAGTTATGGGAAAAATTGACAACAGTTTTCTCATTCGTATAATGTGGATAATAATACTACGATTGCAGTGCAGGTCTGTTATGATGAGAAACTCGAATGATCTATTTTAAACAACAAATAAATATTAAGTGCTCAACAAAAAGACCCTACTAATTATATTACAGTTTATAAGATGGTTCTCAAATACCATCAATCTATATTTCTAACCAAATTATAAGATTCAGAATACAACAAATGTAATGGAATAGGTAGGATACACACTACACATAAACTGTGCATAAAGTAATGGTTTTGATGAATGATCACAGCTTGTTGACAATGCTTATTGGATCTCATTTTTACAGTTAGAAAAAACGTACTTATGTACAGACACTTTTTTGTATTTCCTGTAGATGGTTATCCAAGAGTACTTTTTTTATTTTTAGTTTTCTAAAAATATTTTTTGTGGAGATGGGGTCTCACTTTGTTGCCCAGGCTGGTCTCAATCTCCTGGCCTTTTGCCTCCACCTCCCAAAGTGCTGAGATCATAGGCATGAACTACCACACCCAGCAAGATTAAGTTATAAGGTAGCACCAGACTGACTGAAAATATTAAGCCTACTAAGGTAATTAAAATTAAATTAAAATGTATTATTAAATTGCGTAAACAACAGGAGGGTACTTAAACAATACATGTACAGGTTAAAAGAGAATAAAGATACTTCCAGTTTGGACAAGATGACAAGAATTCATTTCCTTGCTCCTTCCCATTAAACATTACTATAAACTCTGTAAATCACACAAGAATCAGCCAAGAGAGAACCAGGAAAGGTGCTAAGAAGAAGGGAGCTGGTTTGGAAAACCACTCAACAGAGAAAGCCCACCCACTGACACTTTCAGCCCCTAACTTCGCAAAAGAAGACAATTCAGGTAGGTTCATTCTCCCTCCAGATTGAATGAGCATCCTTCTGATATCATCAGGAGAGCCCAACAGCATGAACAAGAGCGATATATTCTAAGTCCCACTAAGTATTAGCAGCTGGAGAAGTACTCGCCTCCACTAGGCCCAAGACTCATCTGTCTCTTGGAATCTCACCAAGAGATACCAAGGAGTTGTAGCCACCCTCGCAGAGACCCAGCTACTGAAAGCAGCTTAGTACAGGAAAGCCTCTTTGTACCTATGAACCCAAGACACTCTTCCTTCACCCACAAATACCAGTTCAGGTGTGTAGAACCAATAAAGAGATGCCACCAAACCAAGTGCCCTGGTCATGAAAACATTTTTGTCCCCATGAACTAAGAGATGCTCTTTCCCTACCCAGAAACACTGAACAGCCAGGTCCAGGAGAGGATCCTATAACATTTCTCCACCATTAAGAAATACTCAGTATCCTGGCCTGCGAAATATTTCCCCACCCACCCCAAGAATATCAGAGAGCTCCAGCGAAGAACAGTGAGAGACTCGGTGGCACTAGATAAACTGAGGAGACGAAAATAACACTATAAGACCTCTTACAATTAAACTGCCATTGGAACCACAGTCTGCAAAAATAGGGGAAGACCGTTATAAACTTAGATCAATACCTGCTAAAATGCAAGATTTAAATAGGATCCAGAGTCCCCTAACATAATAGGCAAAAGGCCAAGTGTACAATAGAAAATCACCTGTCATACCAAGAACCAAAAAAGGACAATTTGAAAAACAAAAGACAATCAGTTGATGCAAACATCTGATTTTTCTCAAGATGTTAGAATTATCTGAAAAGAATTTTAAAGCAGCCATCATAAACACAATTTAATTAATTATCAATTCTCTTGATACAAATAAAAAAATATACAAACTTAACAAAGAAATAGAAGTTATAAAAAAGAACTGAACTGAAATTACAGAACTGAGAAACACAATAACAGAAATTAAAAACTCACTGAATGGACTCAACAGTAGAGTGGAAGTGAAGAGAGAATAGCATCAGTAAACTTGAAGACAGAACACTAGAATTTATGTAATCTGAAAAACAGAGAAAATATAGACTGAACAAAACTCCAGGGTCCTATAGGATAATAACAAAAGGTCAACACTCATCAGAGTCACAGAAAAGGAGAAAAAGAGAGGAGGCCTGAAAGAGTATTTGAACAAATAATTGCTGAAAACTTCCCAAATTTGGTGAAAGACACAAACCTACACATCCAAGGAGCTAAGGGAATCCCAAATGGGATAAACCTAAAAAAATCCATACCAAGAAATCTCATAATTAATCTTTAGAAAAATAAAGATAAATATTGAAAGCACCAAGACAAGATATAACATCTATAGAGGAATACCAATTCAAATAACAAAGATGTTTTAAAAATCTGAAACAAACAAAAAAAAACAGAAATTGTACAACATTTTTCTAAGCAGAATCTAGTGCTAAAGGAAAAGATCCTATAGTACTGGAAAATAACTATAAATTGTGAATTTTATATCTGGTTAAACTATTCTTTATAAATGAAGTGGTAAAAAAACACTCTTAGACCAAAAAAAAAAATCTAAAAGAAATTGTTACTTGCAAATCTAGCTTTATAGACTGGCTAAAGAAAGTTCTTCAAACCAAAAGGAAATGATAAAAGAAGAAATTTTGGAACATTAGGAAGATGGAATAATTGAAAAGCAGAAAGGAAGTATGGCCACATAAAATATACTATCTTTGCTCTCCTGCATTTTATAAATAACATTTGATGACTGAAACAAAAATTATAATACCATGTGATGCTCAAGCTGGTGATATAGAAAACTGAGGTAGGTAAAGAAACCTAAATTGATGTGAAGTTTCCACTGTTCACTAGAAATGGTTAGATGTTAATACAAGTAGGCCATAATAAGTTATATCTATATCAGCCTGCCTTACAAGAACTCCGGAAGGAAGCACTAAATAGGGAAAGGAAAAATTGGTACCAGCCACTGCAAAAACAAACCAAAATGTAAAGACCATCAACACTATGAAGAAACTGCATCAACTAATGGGCAAAGTAGGCAGCTAACATCATAATGACAGGATCAAATTCACACATAACAGTATTAACCTTAAATGTAAACAGGATAAATGTGCCAATTAAAAGGCACAGCCTGGCAAATTGGATAAAGAGTCAAGACCCATTGGTGTGCTATATTCAGGAGACCCATCTCACGTGCAAAGACACACATAGGCTCAAAATAAAGGGATGGAGGAAGATTTACCAAGCAAACGGAAAGCAAAAAAGAAGCAGGGGTTGTAATCCTAGTCTCTGATAAAACACACTTTAAACCAGCAAAGATTAAAAAATACAAAGAAGGGCATTACATAATAGTAAAAGGGTCAACGCAACAAGAAGAGCTATCTTAAATATATATGCACTCAATACAGGAGCACACAAATTCATAAAACAAGTTCTCAGAGACCTACAAAGAGACCTAGACTCTCACACAATAATAGTGGGAGACTTTAACACCCCACTGTCAATATTAGATCAACGAGACAGAAAATTAACAAGGATATTCAGGACTTGAAGTCAGCTCTGGATCAAGTGGACTTAATAGACATCTACAGAACTGTCCACCCCAAATCAACAGAATATACATTCTTCTCAGCACCACATAGCACTTATTCTAAAATCGACCACATAATTGAAGTAGAACACTCCTCAGCAAATGCAAAAGGATGGAAATCATAATAAACAGTCTCTCAGACCACAGTGCAATCAAATTAGAACTCAGGATTGAGAAACTCACTCAAGACCACACAACTACATGGAAACTGAACAACCTGCTCCTGAATGAATACTGGGTAAATAATGAAATTAAGGCAGAAATAAATAATTTCTTTGAAACCCATGAGAACAAAGACACAACGTATCAGAATCTCTGGGACACAGCTGAAAGAGTGTTTAAATTTATAGCACTAAATGCCCACAGGAGAAAGAGGGAAAGATCTAAAATCGACACCCTAACATCACAATTAAAGGAACTAGGGAAGTAAGAGCAAGCAAATTCAAAAGCTAGCAGAAGACAAGAAATAACTAAGATCAGAGCAGAACTGAAGGAGATAGAAACATGAAGAACCCTTCAAACAATCAGGGAATCCAGTTGTTTTTTTGAAAAGATTAACAAGATATATAGACCACTCGACAGACCAATAAAGAAGAAAAGAGAGAAGAATCAAACAGACACAATAAAAAAAATGAAAAGGGGGAGATCACTACTGATCTCACAGAAATCCAAAGTACTATCAAGAATACTATAAACACCTCTACACAAATAAACTAGAAAATCTAGAAGAAATGGATAAATTCCTGGATACATACAGCCTCCCAAGACTAAACCAGGAAGAAGCTGAATCCCTGAATAGACGAATAACAAGTTCTAAAATTGAGGCAGTAATTCATAGCCTACCAACCAAAAATTGCCCAGGATCAGACGGATTCACAGCTGAATTCTACCAGAGGTACAAAGAAGAACTGGTACCATTCCCTTTGAAAGTATTCCAAACAATAGAGAAAGAGGGACTTCTCCCTACCTAGCTCATTTTATGAGGCCAGCATCATCCTGACACCAAAACCTGGCAGAGACACAACAAAAACAGAAAATTTCAAGCCAGTATCCCTGATGAACATCGATGTGAAAATCCTCAAGAAAATACTGGCAAACTGAATCCAGCAGCACATTAAACAGCTTATCCACCACGATCAAGTCAGCTTCATCCCTGGGATGCAAGGCTGGTTCAACATACACAAATCAATAAACACAATCCATCACATAAACCAAAGCAATGACAAAAAACACATGATTCTTTCAATAGATGCAGAAAAGTCCTTCGATAAAATTCAACACCCCTTCATGCTAAAAACTCTCAATAAATTAGGTATTGATGGAACGTATCTCAAAATAATAAGAGCTATTTATCACAAACCCACAGCCGATATTATACTGAATGGGCAAAAGCTGGAAGCATTCCCTTTGAAAACTGGCACAAGACAAGGATGTCCTCTCTCATCACTCCTATTCAACATAGTATTGAAAGTTCTGGCCAGGGCAATTAGGCAAGAGAAAGCAATAAAGAATATTCAAATAGAAAGAGAGGAAGTCAAATTATCTCTGTTTGCAGATGACATGATTGTATATATTTAGAAAACCCCATTATCTCAGCCCCAAATCTCCTTAAGCTGATAAGCAACTTCAGCAAAATCTCAGGATACAAAATCAATGTGCAAAAATCACAAGCATTGCTATACACCAATAATAGCCAAATCATGAGTGAACTTCCATTCACAATTGCAACAAAGAGAATAAAATACCTAGAAATACAACTTACAAGGGATGCGAAGGACCTCTTCTAGGAGAACTACAAACCACTGCTCAAGGAAATAAGAGAGAACACAAACAAATAGAAAAACATTCCATGTTTGTGGATAGGAAGAATCAATATAATGAAGATGGCCATACTGCCCAAAGTAATTTATAGATTCAATGCTATTCTCATTAAGCTACCAGTGACTTTCTTCACAGATTGAGAAAAACTACTTTAAATTTCATATGGAACCAAGAAAGAGCCTGTATAGCCAAGAGAATCCTAAGCAAAAAGAACAAAGCTGAAGGCATCATGCTACCTGACTTCAAACTATACTACAAGGCTACAGTAACCAAAACAGCATGGTACTGGTACCAAAACAGATATATAGACCAATGGAACAGAACAGAGGCCTCAGAAGTAACACCACACATCTACAACCAACTGATCTTTGACAAACCTGACAAAAACAAGCAATGGGGAAAGGATTCCATATTTAATAAATGATGCCGAGAAAATGGCTAGCCATATGCAGAAAACTGAAACTGGACCCCTTCCTTACACCTTATACAAAAATTAGCTCAAGATGAATTAAAGATTTAAATGTAAGGCATAAAACCATAAAAACCCTAGAAGAAATCCTAGGCAATACCATTCAGGACATAGGCATAAGCAAAGACTTCATGACTAAAACACCAAAAGCAATGGCAATAAAAGCCAAAATTGACAAATGGGATGTAATTAAACTAAAGAGCTTCTGCACAGCAAAAGAACTATCATCAGAGTGAACAGGCAACCTACAGAACGGGAGAAAAATTTTGCAATCTATCAATCTCACAAAGGGCTAATATCCAGAATCTACAAAGAACTTAAACAAATTTAAAAGAAAAAAATATATCAAAAAGTGGGTGAAGGATATGAACAGACACTTTTCAAAATAAGACATTTATGTGGCCAAAAAACATATGAAAAAAGGGTCGTCATCATCATTGGTCATTAGAGAAATGCAAATCAAAACCACAATGAGATACCAACTCACACCAGTTAGAATGGTGATCATTAAAAAATCAGGAAACAGGCTGGGCGCAGTGGCTCATGCCTGTAATCCCAGCACTTTGGGAGGCCGAGGCGGGCGGATCACGAGATCAGGAGATTGAGACCATGGTGAAACCCTGTCTCTACTAAAAATAAAAAAAAAATTAGCCAGGCGCAGTGGTGGGCACCTGTAATCCCAGCTACTCAGGAGGCTGAGGCAGGAGAATGGCGTGAACCCAGGAGGTGGAGCTTGCAGTGAGCCAAGATCGCACCACTGCACTCCAGCCTGGGTGACAGAGCAAGACTCAGTCTCAAAAAAAATAAAAACAAAAACAAAGACAAAAACGGAAACAACAGATGCTGGGGATGATGTGGAGAAGTAGGAACACTTTTACACTGTTGGTGGGAGCATAAATTAGTTCAACAATTCTGGAAGACAGTGTGGCGATTCCTCAAGGATCTAGATCTAGAAATAACCATTTGACCCAGCAATCCTATTAGTAGGTATGTACCCAAAGGGTTATAAATCATTCTACTATAAAGACACATGCACACGTATGTTTATTGTGGCACTGTTCACAGTAGCAGACTTGAAACCAATCCAAATGCCCATCGATGTTAGACTGGATAAAGAAAATATGACACATATATATCATGGAGTCCTATGCAGCCATAAAAAAGAATGGGTTATTGTCCTTTGCAGGGACATGGATGAAGCTGGAAACCATCATTCTCAGCAAACTAACCCAGGAACAAAAAACCAAACACTGCATGTTCTCACTCACAGGTGGGAATTGAACAATGAGAACACATGGACACAAGGAGGGGAACATCACACATGGGGGCCTGTCGGGGGTTGGGGACAGAGGAGGGATAGGATTAGGAGAAATACCTAATGTAGATGATGGGTTGATGAGTGCAGCAAGCCACCGTGGCACATGTATACCTATGTAACAAACCTCACATTCTACACATGTATCCCAAAACTTAAAGTATAATAAAAAAAATAAGTTATATGTATATACTCTAATACCCATTCCTCTGGGTACTACGGAGAGATATATATTCAAACACACTATAAATAAATCCAGATAGAACCTTTAAAGATATTCAAGTAACCTACAGGAAGGCAAGACAAGTTTAACTGAGCGAGGAGAAACAGGTGAAACAAATAGAAAACAAATAAGAATTGGCAGACTTACGTTCTTACATAGCAATAATTAATTCAAATGCAAATGGTGTAAGTACACCAATCAAAAAGTAGAGATTGGCAGTGTGGATTTCTAAAAACTACCCAACAAAATACTATTTACAATAATTCATCTCCATAATATAGATAGATTGGCAGTAAAGGGATGAAAAAGATATACCATGAAAACATTTTTAAAAAAGCAAAGCAGGAGTGCCTCTGTTAATATCTAGTGACGCAGACTGAAGAGCAATATAAGTATGTGTATACATACATATATATATGGACAAAAATGGCATTAATGCTTAAAGAATTAAACTTCTATATAAAAATCTTTAATGTGTATGCGTCAAATAACAGAACCTCAGTAAAAATAGAAAAAGCCACAGTTAAATATTAGAACTTCAACGATCGCTTCCTGTGGAACTAGACATTATCATCAAGCATATAGAAGATCTAGCTGGGTGCAGCTGGGTACAGTGGCAGGCACCTGTAGTCCCAGCTATTCAGGAGGCTGAGACAGGAGGATAGTTTGAGCCCAGGAGTTGAGTTCAAAACCAGCTTGGGCAATATATTAATAGTAGGGACCTCTCTCAAAAAATCTTTACACATGGAAGATCTAAATAACACAATCAGCAGAATCTAATGGACATATATAGAACATTCCACCCCAAAACAGCAGAATACAGCTATTTTTTCAAATGCTCAAAGAACGGTTACCAATATAGGCTATACTCTGAGCCATAAAACAAACTTCAACAAATGTAAAACAATGGAAATTTTGCAGTGTTTTCTTACACCATAATGGAATCAAATTAGAAATCAGTAACAGAAAGAAAACAAGAAATCTCTTAAAATGTGGGAATTAAACAAGGCCTATCTAAATAATCCATGGGTCAAAGATGAAGTCTCAAGGAAATTTTTTAAAGTAACTAAATGAAAACAAAAACACAACAGATGAAAATATGAGTGATGTGTCTAAAGCAATGTTAAGAGGTAAATTTATAGGATTAAATGCTTACATTAGAAACAAAAAACATCTCAAATTAATAACCTAATTTTCAATAAAAAAAAAACCTGGAAAAATAGAGTGAGTAAATTAGAGTGAGTAAAAGGAAGGAGATAATAGGTAAGAGCAGAAATCAATGATACTGAAAATAGAAAAAAATGTAGTAAAAAAATCGATGAAACAAAAATATGGTTTTTAAAATAAATAATACAATTGAAAAACTTCCAGCAAGACTGACAAAAGTAGAGAGAAAACAGAAATAGTCAAAGCAGGAATAAAGTAGGACACATCACTACAGATTCTAGTACTGTTAAAGCATAATATATAATATACTCCTAAGTTCAAAAACGTAAAAGGAATGGAGTAATTCCTCAAAAATTACAAACTTCTAAGAGGAAGTAGGCAGTATAAATCATCTCATATTAACAAAGAAATTGAAATTGTAATTTAAAAGCCACTCCCAACACCCCCCTTCCCCCAGAAATCTTCAGGCCTAGATGGTTTCATTGGAGAAATCTAACAAAATTTAAAGAAGAATTAATATCATTTTTACAAATCTTTTCCAGAACATAGGAGAGAAGGGGACATTTCTCAACTCATGCTGTAAGTCTATTATTGCCCTAAATACTAAACCAGAAAATGATAGCTCAACAAAACAAAGACCAAAATAAAGCAAAAAATCCCACAAACATCTATCATTAATTTAAATGCAAAAACAACAAAATATCTGCACACCAAACCCATGAATGTAAACAGAGCTACATACCATGATAAAGTGAGGCTAATTGGTCATTCAAGTTTCCTCTTCTTTGAAGCGTCTGTTTAAAGATTATATTCACTTTAATTTTTTTTTTTTTTGAGATGGAGTCTCACCCTGTCACCCAGCGTGAAGTGCAGTGGTGCAATCTTGGCTCACTGCAGCCTCTGCCTCCTGGGTTCAAACAATTCTCCTCCCTCTGCCTCCCAAGAAGCTGCAATTATAGGTGTGCACCACCATGCCTGGCTAATTTTTTTTTATATTTTTAGTAGAGATGGAGTTTCACCCTGTTTGCCATGCTGGTCTTGAACTCCTGGCTTTAGGTTATCCACCCACTTCGGCCTCCCAAAGTGCTGGGATTACAGGTGTGAGCCACCGCACCTAGCCAAATTTTCTTGATTATCATTTTTTTATTAATTTTTAAGATTGCTTTATATATTCTGAGTACTAATATGTTTATTTTTTGTGCTGGAAATATTTTCTCTGTCTCTTTTCTTCATGATAACTGTGAATGAAAAAGGTCTGTAATTTTGTCTTATTTAATATTTGTATTATCTCTTATGATTTGTTCTTTTTGAGAAATCTCTTTGTGCCCTACGGTCATTAAAGTATTCTCCAAATTTTCATTTAAGCCTTTTAAGTATTGCTGTTAACATTTAGTAAGTATTTAATCCATCTGAAATTGATTTCTATATATTAGATGCAGTGAGACTACAGTTAAATATTTATTTCAATAAAATTCTGAATTGTCCTATAATGATTCTTCATTCAGGGCTCAGCATTCTCTTACTGATCTGCAATGCAGCTCCATCACATACCAAAGGTGCATACATGTACGACTCTGGTTCTGGAGACTCTCTTTGCAGTTCTAGGGGTTTGTCTGTTACTGTGCCAGTACTGAGCTGCCTTAAATACTCTAATTCATAATAAATCTCAGTATCTATAAGGCAAGCCTCCTATGTGTGTGTGTGTGTGTGTGTGTTTTTTTTAAGTTCTGGGATACATGTGTAGAACATGCAGGTTTGTTACATAGGTATATGTGTGCCATGGTGGTTTGTTGCACCTGTTGACCTGTCCTCTAAGTTCCCTCCCCTCACCCCCCATCCCGCAATGGCCCTGGTGTGTGTTGTTCCCTTCCCTGTGTCTATGTGTTCTCATTGTTAAACTCCCACTTATGAGTGAGAACACGCGTTGTTTAGTTTTCTGTTCCTGTGTTACTTTGTTGAGGATAATGGCTTCAAGCTTCATCCATGTCCCTGCAAAGACTTGATCTCATTCCTTTTTATGACTGCATATGCTGGTACCATTTCTTCTGAAACTATTCCAAACAATTAAAGAGGAAGGACTCCTCCCTAAATCATTTTACAAAACCAGCATCATCTTGATACCAAAACCAGGCATAGACACAACAAAAAAAGAAAATTTCAGGCCAATACCCCTGATGAACATCAATGTGAAAATCCTCAATAAAATACTGGCAAACCAAATCCAGCAGCACATCAATAAACTTATTCACCACAATCTAGTCGGTTTCACCCCTGGGATGCAAGGTTGGTTCAACATATGCAATCAATAAATGTAATCTGTTACATAAACAGAACCAAGGACAAAAACCACATGATTATCTCAATAGATGCAGAAAAGGCCTTTGATAAAATTCAACATTCCTTCATGTTAAAAACTCTCAATAAACTAGGTATTGATGAAACATATCTCAAAATAGTAATAGCTATTTATGAAAAACCCATAGCCAATATCGTATTGAATGGCAAAAGCTGGAAATACCTAGGAATACAACTAAGAAGGGATGTGAAGGAACTCTTCAAGGGTACTGCGTATTGTATTGTCCAGGAATTTATCCATTTCTTCTAGATTTTCTAGTTTATTTGCCTAGAGGTGTTTATAGTATTCTCTCATGGTAGTTTGTATCTCTGAGGAGTCAATGGTGATATCCCCTTTATCATTTTTTATTGTGTCTATTTGATTCTTCTCTCTTTTCTTCTTTATTAGTCTAGATAGTGGTCTATCAATGTTGTTAATGTTTTCAAAAAACCAGCTCCTGGTTTCACTTGTTTTTTTGGAAGGATTTTTGTATCTCTATCTCCTTTAATTCTGCTCTGATCTTAGTTATTTCTTGTTTTCTGCTAGCTTTTGGATTAGTTTGCTCTGGCTTCTCTAGCTCTTTTCATCGTGATGCTAGGGTATTGATTTAAGATCTTTCTAGCTTTGTGATGTGGGCAATTAGTGCTATAAATTTCCCTTTTATCACTGCTTTAGCTGTGTCCCAGAGCTTCTGGTACACTGTCTCTTTGTTCTCATTGGTTTCAAAGAACTTCTTGATATCTGCCTTAATTTCATTATTTACCCAGTATTCATTCAGGAGCAGGTTGTTCAGTTTCCATGTAGTTGTGTGGTTTTAAGTGAGTTTCTTAATCCTAAGTTCTAATTTGATTGCACTGTGGTCTGAGAGACTGTTATGATTTCAGTTCTTTTGCATTTGCTGAGGAGTGTTTTCTTCCAACTATGTGGTTGATTTTAGAGTAAGTTCTATGTGGCACTAAGCATATTTTGTTGATTTGGGGTGGAGAGTTCTGTAGATGTCTATTAGGTCCTCTTGATCCAGAGCTGAGTTCAAGTCCTGAATATCCTCGTTAATTTTCTGTCCTGTTGATCTAATATTGACAGTGGGGTATTAAAGTCTCCCACTATTATTGTGTGGGAGTCTAGGTATCTTTGTAGGTCTCTAAGAACTTGCTTTATGAATCTGAGTGCTCCTGTATTGGGTGCATATATATTTAAGATACTTAGCTCCTCTTGTTGAATTGATCCCTTTACCATTGTGTAGTGCCCTTCTTTGTCTTTTTTGATCTTTGTTGGTTTAAAGTCTGTTTTGTCAGAGACTAGGATTGCAACCTTTGCTTCATTTTTGCTTTCCATTTGCTTGGTAAATTTTTCTCCATCCCTTTATTTTGAGCTGATGTGTGTCACTGCACATAAGATGGGTCTCCTGAATACAGCACACCGATGAATCTTGACTCTATTCAATTTGCCAGTCTGTGTCTTTTAAATTGGTGCATTTAGCCCATTTACATTTAAGGTTAGTATTCTGATGTGTTAATTTAATCCTGTCATCTTGATGCTATCTGGTTATTTTGCACACTAGTTGACGTGGTTTCTTCATAGTGTCATTGGTCTTTATATTTTGGTGTGTTTTTGCAGTGGCTGGTACTGGTTTTTCCTTTCCATATTTAGTGCTTCCTTCAGGAGCTCTTGCAAGGCAGGCCTGGGGTGACGGAATCCCTCAGCATTTGTTTGTCTGGAAAGGATTTTATTTCTCCTTCACTTGTGAAGCTTAATTTGACTGGATATGAAATTCTGGGTTGAAAATTCTTTTATTTAAGAATGTTGAATATTGGCCCCCAATCTCTTCTGGCTTATAGGATTTCTGCTGAAAGGTCCACTGTTAGTCTGATGGGCTTCCCTTTGTTGGTGACCTGGCCTTTCTTTCTGGCTGCACTTAACATTTTTTCCTTCATTTTGACCTTGGAGAATCTGATGATTATGTGTCTTGGGGTTGATCTTCTCTTGGAGTATCTTAGTGGTGTTCTCTATATTTCCTGAACTTGCATGTCAGCCTGTCTTGCTAGGTTGGGGAAGTTCTCCTGGATAATATCCTGAAGTGTGTTTTTCAGATTGTTTCCATTCTCCCAGACTCCTTCAGATACTCCAGTCAATCATAGGTTCAATCTTTTTACGTAGTCCCATATTTTTTGGAGGCCTGGTTCATTCCTATTCATTCTTTTTTCTCTAATCTTGTCTGCATGCCTTATTTCAGCAAGGTGGTTTTCAAACTCTGATATCCTTTCTTGCACTTGGTCAATTCAGCTATTGATACTTGTGTACGCTTCATGAAGTTCTCGTGCAGTGTTTTTCAGTTCCATCAGGTCATTAATAGTCCTCTTTAAACTGGTTATTCTAGTTAGCAGCTCCTCTAACCTTTTATCAAGTTTCTCAGCTTCTTTGCATTTGGGTTAGAACATGCTCCTTTAGCTCAGTGGAGTTTTTATTACCCATCTTCTGAAGCCTACTTCTGTCAATTTGTCTATCTCGTCCTCCATCCAGTTCTGCACCCTTGCTGGAGAGGTGTTGCGATCATTTGGAGGAGAAGGGGCACTCGGGCCTTTTGCGTTTTCAGTGTTTTGTTGTTGTTGTTGATTCTTTCTCAGCTTCATGAGTTTGTGTAGCTGCTGACCCTTGAATGAGGTTTTTGTGGGGACTTTTTTTGTTGTTGATGCTATTGTTGTTGCTTTCTGTTTGTTTGTTTGTTTGTTTTACTTTCAGTGTTCAGGTCCCTCTTCTGTAGGGCTTCTGCGGTTTGCTGGGGGTTCACTTCAAGCCCGATTCATCTGGTTCACTCCTGTGCCTGGAGATGTCACTCAAGGAGGCTGGAGAACAGCAAAGATGGGTGCCTGCTCCTTCTGGGATCTCTGGCCTTGAGGGGCACCAACCTGATGCCAGTAGGGTCGCTCCTGTATAGGGTGTCCGACAACCCCTGTTGGAGGGTCTCAAACAGTTGGGTGGCATGGGAAACAGGACCCATTTAACAAAGCACTTTGACTATTCCTTGTGGAGGGAGTGTGCTTCGTTGTGGGGAAACCCACTTGTCTGGGCTGCCCGGATTCCTCAGAACTACTAGGAGGAAAGGCTAACTGCTGGTCTGCAGAGACTGTGGCCACCCCTTCCCCTACGGGATCAGATCTAGAGAGATCAGGGTTCAGTCCCTGAGCCTCTGGCTGGAGTTGTAGTTCCTGCAGGGAGGCCCCACCCAGTGAGGAAGGATGAGTCAGGGTCAGGCCTGAAGAGACGCTCTGGCCACAGTCTGACACAGCCCATGTGTTGGGCTGTGGGGGATATCTCTTGGGACCAAGCCTTCCAGACTCCCTGGTTCTAGCAGGAGAAATGTGTGGCCTGGAGCTATAGAGATGGATGCTGCCCTTCTCCCACCCAGGGAGCTTAGCATGTTAGGCAGTTATGAGTCCCAGTGTTGGCTGCTGCCCCCTCTCCCAAGGAGCTCTAATGGCTTAGACAGCAGGCAGCTGCAGCTGTGGTGCTGGTTGCCCCTCCCCCTGGGAACTCGACAGGTTTAAGGAGATTCTAGCGGAAAGGCTGTTGATTATCTGTGCGGCTCTGGGATTGGGACCCTATGCCCTGGTGATGTGAGTTTGTGAGGGGGATCTTCCGATCTGTATGTTGCACAGTTCCGTGGAAAAAGCATGGTTTTCCCAACTGGGTAGCACACTCACTCACCACCTCTCTTGGCTAGGGGGTGGGGGCTCCCCTGCCCCATGTGGCTCTGAAGTGGGACACCACACCACACTACTCTTCCTTCCTCTCTGTGGATCACGCCGGCCGCCTAGTCAGTTGTGAAGAGAGAACCTGGATACCTTGCTTGCGGTGCAGGATTCACATACTATTATGGTTCTTTTGGAGGGAGCCTCTGATTCCACTGCTTCTAATCTGCCATCTTGGCCCCGCCCACTGTGTTCTTATTTTCTGAGTATTATGTGCCTATATTTGACTTGTTAGCAATTTCCGATAAATTTTATAGCTAGATTCTCAAACTCTATAAAGAACTTGGAATTTTGATTTGGGTTTTAAACAAATCTCAAGATGAATTTGAGGATAATTGTATTAACTATATTGAATATTCCCATGTATGAACATGATCTATCTCTCCTTTTATTTAAGTCTCCTTATTGTAAAGGAAACATTGTTTATAGTCTCCCTAAAAGACTTGAACATCTTTTAAAGATTTCTTCCTAGTAGCTTTAAATTTTTGTTGCTTTTGTGAATTTTATTCTTATTTCCTATCTCTGTTGCTTACTTACTGAAATGCATTTGCTTTTATATATTAATATTGAACATAGCAATGTTTGTCATTTAATAATTTTCATAATTAGTTTGGAAGTTCTTTTGTATTTTCTTCATAAACAATCAAATAACCCATAAACAAGGTATATTTTTTCCCAATCTCAGTAGTTTATTTTTCCTGTATGCTCCATTCTATTATCTTTTTCCCAATATCAAATAATGTGGTGACAGGGACTCTCCCTGTCTTTTTTCCAGGATCAATGTTTTCGATGTTTTACCATTATGTAGGATATTTGCTGTACTCATTTGATAGATATCATTTGCCAGGTTAAGTACATTTTCTTCTATTCCCAATTTACAAAATTTTTACATGAATAGAGAAGAATTTTATTAAGCATTGTATCTGCATTAAATAAGATGATTACATGTTTTATCTTTTAAAATAGTTAATGATATTTTGAAACACAAATTCAACTTTAGATTGTGGGATTAAATTTACCTTGCTCATCATCTTGTATCATGTTTGTGTAATTATATATTCAGACAGATACTTTTGTTTAAGATTTTTGAACCTCTGTTCATAAGTGAGAGTAGCTTGGGAATTTCTTTTCACCTGTAGTCCTTGTCAGGTTTTGTAGCCAAGATTATATAGGCTTGATAAAATTAATTAGGAAAGGTTCCCCCTTGTTCAATATTCTGGAAGGTTTGTGTAATATTAGGATTTTTTTTTCTGGTACTGATGACTGGATTAGGAAAATGTATTGCAAATTTTTGCTATTGATCGATTTTCTTGTTGATTATATAATCTTGAGCAAATACGTAATGAGTGGAAGATTTCAATATGATCTTAATGATGTCATCAGGCATGATATGGATGAATCTACTGCAGTTAAGAATCACCTCCCAGCCGGGCACGGTGGCTCATGCCTGTAATCCCAGCACTTTGGGAGGCCAAGGTGGGCGGATCACGAGGTCAGGAGATCGAGACCATCCTGGCTAACACGGTGAAACCCCGTCTCAACCAAAAAAATACAAAAAATTAGCTGGGCGTGGTGGCGGGTGCCTGTAATCCCGGCTACTCGGGAGGCTGAGGCAGGAGAATGGCATGAACCCGGGAGGCGGAGCTTGCAGTGAGCCGAGACTGCGCCACTGCACTCCAGCCTGGGCGACAGAGCGAGACTCCGTCTAAAAAAAATAAATAAATAAAATGAAATAAATAAAAATAAAAAATGAATAAAAAAAGAATCACCTCCCAAATGTCACCTATTATATCTAACCCATCTTCAAATCCCATGTATTCTACTCCAAATCATATCTACTTCTCTCCATTACAACTGATGTTTGCATTCTTAGCACCAATCACCTCTCCCGCAAATCATACAGTAGGTGCCCACTGGACTTTTTGTTTCCATGTGCCCTAATTAATTTGATTGTCTGCATAGAAGATCAAAGGATTTTAATATCATAAATTGGTACTTCTGGTTAACTATTCTAGAAAAATATAGTGTTTCTAATGTACTATTCTCCTTGAAAGTAATAAAAGAAGAAAAACCAAAGAGAGAAAAATGAAAGGCATATTGAAAGCAGAAATTGAAAAGACATGACAGAAAACATTATCAGTAGTATAAAAGATAAAATGAGCAAAATTAATTATTAAGTGGAAAATGATAACTATAAAAGTTATCTAGCACACATACTATTCTTCTGTCAGAATAAAAACCTGAAAAAATGGAGTTGAATTATATTGTCCACCATTATAGAAGCAGTAAACTTTTCAAAAATAAGTAATACTTGAATATGTACATTAGAATATTATGCTATGTGCTAGGAAAATATTGATACACAGCCATTAATACTAAGTCATGTCCTTAACTAGACTTTAAGGCAAAGAAATATTTCCTTGGTGATCCAGCCATAAAAAAACAAGGTATCAGCAAGGAGAATCAATAAGGTTGGCCTCAGCCTTCTCCATAGGAATATTAAATGATAAAAGAGAGTGAAACAATCAATAGATACAAAGTCCTTGGAGAAAGAATGTGAGAACCAAGATGTTTTCATACACAGCCAACTGGCTGTTGCTATGTGAATGTAAGAGAGAAATATTTTCAAATATATGAAATCTCAGAGTAGATTGTAGCCATAAGCCTGGAAGTGAAGTTCAGAGGAAACTCGTTGGGATTGCAATTTAATCAACCAACAGATGCATAAAGAAGCTGTGATAAAATAACTAGTGGCAAGCATCAAGTTCATCTAAGTATACAACTAAGGACAATTAACTGAGGAGCATGGTTCATAAGAGAATGCAAATGTGATAAAATACTGTAAACCTTAATGCATTAATATCGTATATAAGAATGTCTCATAAAAATGAGGAGGTGGAGAGGTGAAAAAAAGGTTAAAGACTGTCTTTTTTTTACATATAAATATTTTACAATTTTAATTATTTTTGCCATTAACCCATGAATTATTTAGGCAGTGTTGTTGTTGGCTATCTTTTGTTTGTTGATTTTTAATTTTTTAAATTATAGGTATTTTTAATTATCATTATATCTTAAATCCAAGAATTATTGATCATTTATTGTTATTTCATTGTGCTTGTTGTTGTTCTGTCTGGCTATCTTCTGATTGCTGATTTTCAGTTTTACTGTTTTTCAAATATCTCTCTGTCTGACACCTTTCAATTTGGAGATCAACTTTGGATCCTAATATGTAGTCACTTTTGTAAGTATCCCATGTGTACATAAAAAGAGTACTATATATTTCTTTGCTGGATAAAAAGTATCCCAGCATATAAGAACACTAAAAAAAAATTATTTAAAGATGTAACAGAAAACTAACTTTCAGAGGCTTCTTTCCCTTACTGATGGGCATTTACAATGTCTTAAGTTTTGGCCACTGTAAGTAATGCCACCCTAGACACCCTAGTACTTAGTCCCTTATTTGCTACATTTCCATAGCATTGAGAGATTGTTTGGTTGAAGGGACATTTGTATTTTTATTTTAATCAGTGCTGTTAAATTGCTTCTTAGGAACACTCTAATGTCTAAGATTTCTCCAATCTATGGACAGGAATACTCTTTTGCCTAGAACTCTGATATATATGTGTTTGTCTTCTAATTGTTTCTAGTCTAATGCATATAATCTTTTGTCACTTTAATTTGTATATTTGCATTTCTCAGATTACTAGAAAATTCAGGCATCTTTTCATGTGTTTATTTCCTCTAAAGTTTTAGTTTTGTGTGAATCATTTAGTCATGTTTTTATCAAACTTCTATTAAACTGTTCATTTTTCTATATGTAGGAACTCATTCTTTATAAATATTGGCAGGTAGTTAATGTATGTCATCAGATTAGAAATCATGTTGCAAATTAATCATTGTTAATTTTATGAAGTATTTTGCATATAAATTTTTTATTTATATATGCAATAAACTACATTTATTTATAATATCTTCCAGTTTTTCAGAACTTACTCTGATAATCACCCAACCACTGATTTATAAGGACATATAGCCTCCTAACTTCTTAATAAAATGTTTGTAGCTTCTTGTTCATTTGTTCACTTGTTTTTCACTTAAGGCTTTATTTAGTCCATCTGGAATATATTTTTGTATCTGATATTAGATGATCTTCCATTTTTATTACCTCCCAGATGGCTGGTAGGTTGTACTTGTGCCATTTGTTTACAAAACCATCTTTTCACATCGTATTCACTACTGCCTTGTCCTATGTTGAAGATCTGCAAACTGAGATGTTCATGCTATTTCTTTTTGACTAATCTATTTGCCTATTCCTACACCAATACAATATGCATTTTTTGATATTAAGATATGCCCAATATTCAATAAGGCTAGTATCCCTTACCCATTTTCTTTTTAATAAGCCAACACCAAACTCCTGCTGTAAGTTAGAGATTGTAATTGGAATATATGTATATATCTATATATACATTTATTTTAATTTTTTTACAACATTAAATTTTCCTACCCAGGAAAATGGGATATGTTCAAATACTGATTGAATATCCCTTATCTGAAATGCTTGAAATATTTAGGATTTCAAATTTTTTCAAATTTTGGAATATTCACATATACATAATGAGATATCTTGGATATGGGACCCAAGTCTAAACCCAGAATTCATTTATGTTTAATACACACCTTATACTCGTAGCCTGAAGGTAATCTTATATAATATTTTTAATCATTTGGTGCATGAAACAAAGTTTGTGTACATTGAGCAATCAGAAAGCAAAGGTGTCACTATCTTAGCCACCCAGGCAGGCAATCTGTCATTGTTTGGCATCATCATCATTCCTAACTCTGAATTTATATGCTACCAATAGGGAATCATTTTCTTGCACTTATTCACACAGAAGCATTTCACAGTAAAAATGACATGCCATTAATACAGTGAAAACATTACGTGTTCAGGGTAACTAAGCAGCATAGTATCATCACCAAAATACCTGAATCAGCTGTTAAGCAACAGCTACAACAAACAAGAGCAGGTTTTCAATCTCCACCTATGATGCTGGGTGTATTATTTTTTCTTTTTTATGATGCTGCTTTTATTAAAAAGTTATTGTACACTGTACTTGGGGTGAGGGTGGCAGTAAGAAGAAACATCAGATGCAATTAAGGGACCTGGAAGTGGGTGCACTACAGAGGGTGAGGCGTTCTGCTGTATAGCTTTTTTCAGCGTTTCCTCCAGAGTCACCTGCCTCATTATCAACCTGTTTTTGTCTTAGAGGTCTCTATGATGGTACACACTGACATGATTTCTTCTTCAGTTACAGATACACAGTGCTGTAGTCCTTCAATAAGCCCATCACAGATTTTCACCATGTCCTCTATAGGCCTATAGACACTTTTTCTGCAATGTTAAAAACATCGTCTTCATCATCACTATTATCATGATCACCTTGATTCAGAATGATTTTGTCTATTTCATCATAGATCAATGAATCAACAACTGAGGCCTCATTATTGATGCTAAAAACTTCTTTGATAGCCATTTCTTTCAACTTACTAGTGAACTACATGTGTGTTTTTTTTTGCACATGTAAGGGGATCAGACATCAGGTTATTTTTTTTTTTCTGACTTGTCATATAGTATTTTTCAAAGAGCCACCACCTTCCAGCATTTTGGGAGGACAAGGCAGGAGGATCACTTGAGGCCAGAAGTTCAAGACCAGCCTGGCCAACATGACAAAACCCCATCTCTACTAAAAATACAAAAAATTAGCCAGGTGCAGTGGTACATGCCTGTACTCCCAGCTACTCAGGAGGCTGAGGCATGAGAATCACTTGAGCCTGGGAGGCAGAGGTTGCAGTGAGCCAAGATTGCACCACAGCACTCCACCTTGGGCGACAGAGGTAGACTTTGTCTTAAAAAACAAAACAAAAACACCACCTTGTTCATCATCATCACTAAACATACCTACAGGTCATGCACCACCGCTGTGTCTTTAGTCTCTGTGTTCCAGAGTTGGCAAAAGCAAAACTCCATTTGAAAATCTTCCACACCTACATCTGTGTTCATTGCTGCTAGCATACTGTTCGAGAAAGTGTTTTTATATCTATTTTCGTTGATCTAAGGATATATTGTCACAGGCTGAATTAATGAAATCACATTTGGGAAAAAGTACATGGCATACACATTATTTTTTATGAGAATTTAAGCTGCAGAATGAGCAGAACAGTTGTCAAGGAATCACAAAACCTTGCAATTAACATCCAGTCCAGCTTCCCTGCAGTGAGAACAAGCCACTGGTACAAACTGTTTGTGAAACCAATCAGAAAAGATGGCCTTGGTGATTTATGCCTTTTTGCTAGCATACTAATAGACTGGTCAGAAATCAAATCCTTGAAAACAGTGAGGACACAAGCTTTTGCCTATCACAGCAAGTTTACACTTAGGTGTGCTTGTTGCATTAGCTCATCCGAGCACAGTTATTCTGGCTTTGGCATCTTTAATTCCTGCATGAGCTGTCTCATCAACTGTAGTCGGTGTCTTTCTAGGGTAATAATGGTAAAACGGTAATGTTTATTCAACGTAGATTTGTTCTGACATCAGATTTTCAGCAGTGTTGACCGTGAAAAACTCATCAATGAATGTGTCTGCTGCTTCATGATCAGTAGATGCTTTATCACTACAATTTCTTAAAAATTTAATACTATGCCTTTATAAAAAAAAACAAACAAACTTCAACCTGTTGAATATCCATAGTTCCCTTCACTTGTCATTTCATTGTAATAGATCTTTGCTCGTTTCGTGATCAGCATACCATCAAGTGACATGTGCTCATTGCCACACTGATGGATCCACTCTTTAAAAACACAACAGAGATCTTTATTTTTAGTTTTATGCAGCATTTTTATGTTTTTCATTAACTTCTTTTCATCACTTGCCATGTGGAACTTGAACAGTTTATCCTTTTGTTTCTTCAGGTCATATGTGGTAGTCATTCCAACACTGTCGTCTTCTGTAAGACGTTTCACATTCCAGTTTCTCCAAACAGCTTAACTTTCTGTACTATAGATAAACATAAATGCTTTTTCTTTTTCTTACCAGAGTTACCCATAGGGGTGTCTGCAGGCCTTTTTGACATTTGCAATGATATCTTTACACCACAAGCAGAGAAAAAGCCAAAACAAAAACCTCAGTGTGTAATGCACATAGGTCTTGGCGTCATGCAGGGCGTCATGGGGAACCTGCCATTGGTGCATCTTGCCTGCACATGTGCCATTTTATTACCCTTCATGGGAGTCCTTGCATGGGGGAATCTGGGCAGGCATAGAACAGATATAGTGCAGCTGAAGTAAAAAGGGAAGGGTTTTTGTTTTTTCTCTTGGCAATGCTGCGTGTTGACAGTATCCCATCACATGAGGTCAGTTGTGGAATTTTTGACTTGTAGTGTCATGTCAGCACTCAAAAAGTTTTGAATTTTTGAGCATTTTGGATTTTGGATTTTCAGATTAGAGATGTTCAACATGTATGAGGTCATGTAATGATGTATATTATTTTCTTCACCTAGCTAACGTAACATTCTTGTTAAATTTCTTTCCTCAGCATTCTTTTGTTTTTGTTGCTGTTGTATATCCAATAATTTGTGACCTTTCCATCTCTACTCGGTGCTTCTAGATTAGAAAAAACAGCCAGAGATTAAAGTGTTCAGATAATCATATTAACTACTTAAAAATATAAACAAGAATCCCTTGGGATTTCTCCACCTCCAATTATATCCTTAACAAAAACAGCTTTATTACCAAAAGTTTATGTGTTTTTATTTTATTTTTCAATCTTAGTACTTCAGTTTAAATCTTGAAAAAAGATCTGTTAAGAATAGCATTAGTGGACAACCTTACCTCGTCTCGTCTTTAATGAAGTGTTTTTTATTTTTACAATTTATAATAAGATTTGCTTATTAATATTGGTAAGTAGCCTTTGTGATGCTTCAGTATTTTCCTTTTGTCCTCAATTTATTTATAATTCTAACTAGAATCAATTGCAGAATTTTACCAAATATTTTTTAGCATTTATTGATAACAATCAAACTTTTTTCCCTTTATCAGGTTATAATAATCAATGCTAAAATATCCTGATATAAATGATCCTTCAATTCTTAAAATAAACCCTGGTTAGTCAGTGTATTCATCCCTTGATACAAAGCTGAATACTATTGCTATTATTGAATTTTGCCCCACTATTAAGATTTGTCCACAGTTTTCTTTTATATAGTATCTTTATCAGGTGTTGATATCAAAATAATGCTGATTTCATGAAAGCAATTATAAAATTCCATTATTTTGTATAGGCTTGCATAATTTAAATAACGTTGAACTTATTTATCTGTTTTTTAAAAATTATAGAATATTTGGCTGCAAGTTGTTGTTTTAACATATTTTTCATTGTAGGTGACTCACCTTTCCAAACTCTTCTCTGGTAGTTCGCTTTAATCAGTTTTTCTACTCTGCCATATCTTGTGAATTGTATTATTCAAGTAGCAGGCTCTTTCTAGTCTTTCAGTCTTTTCTTTCTCTGTGGTTATTTCTCCTTTCTCATAGTTTCTCTTTTATTATATAATCAGACTTCCAAGGGGTTTATATATTTTACCATTTTTCCTAGATAATTGACCTATTTATCCTTTGAAAGTTTTGATATTTTATTTCAGTTTACATGTATCTGTATTAATTTCTACTTCTTGCATTTTTATAGTCTATTTTCTTAAAATAGATATTGAATTCCTTTCCTTTCTTCCTTTTTTTTTTTTTTTTTTTTTTTGAGATGGAGTTTCGTTCTTGTTGCCCAAGCTAGAGTGCACAATCTTGGCCCACCACACCCTCCGCCTCCCAGGTTCAAGTGATTCTCCTGCCTCAGCCTCCTGAGTAGCTGGGATTTGTACAGGCATGTACCACCACCCCCAGCTAATTTTGTATTTTTAGTATATGGTTTCTCCATGTTGGTCAGGCTGGTCTCGAACTCCCGACCTCAGGTGATCTGCCCGCCTAGGCCTCCCAGAGTGTTGGGATTACAGGCGTGAGCCCCTGCACCCAACCTCCTTCTTTTCTTTAATATCAAAAGCTGTTGAGGCTATTTATTTCATCCAAGAAAAGAGGAAAATTATACGTAGATATTATTTTGCTGTGTTACATATAGATAGTCTTATGAAGTTTTTCTTTTGTTATTTTCTAGATAGCTTGTCATTTCACTTTTGGTTTTCTTATTGACTCAAGGTTTCTTAATTACCATTCCTATTTACCGTGAAAACCAGTTAACAATTTCATTCATTCTTATTTTATCTTATGCTTCATTATACATTGTTGTTTTTCTATTTTTTCTCATCTTTTAGTTTCCATTCATTTAATTGTTTTTCCATCGTTAATTTGAGGATTCTCCTGAAATTCTCCAGTCAAGATAGTTATTGTGATTGCTAGATACTTACATATAGTCTATTCATTGAAACTAAATATAGTTGCTGTTTTTCTACCAAGTTGCACTTACAATCATGCAGAGAAGCCAAGGCCAGTATATCCTTTCTATTTCAAATGTTCTCTTAAAACCTTTCAGGAAATTTAAATGCCACTATTTCTATTTCAAGGGAGATATTTAAAATGTAATAGTTTGTATGGCATAGAAACCAGCTTAATCAGCTAAAACACTAAGATTTCAGAAAAGGTGTTATTCATAAACTGCAAATCTGGTTGGACAGATACTTACTGGCTAAATGTAGTCCTGCCTATTGCTATATATACACACATTTCTATATCTACCTATATCTAGCTAGCAAACTATATCCCTGTCTTTATAACCTGCATATCAATTTTTTATTACATTTTGCTCTACTTATTTAAAAACTTCAGGTTTCTGTTCTAGTTTATTTATTTGTGGTAGTTGTTGGTTAGTTGTTGTTATTGAGATAAACAAGATCTGAGAATTCCTGCATAAGCTCTCTCTCTCTCTTTCATTTTCACCAGTAAATAAGGTCTTGGCTGGTAGAGGATTCTTGTACAACAGCCCTTTTCACTTCCACTGCTCTTCATATTGCTACTTCATTCTTTTGTAGCTTGAGCATTGAAGATGAAAAGCCTGATAACGGCCTCATTTTTTTCCCTTGGGGGATATTTTATTTCTTTTGATTGGAAAAGTATACTTTTTTGTTTATGACCAGTTTTGAGTGCTGGAAATTTTACCAATATTTTCCTAGTTTTATCATTTTCTAATCGATTTAGCCTAGAGCAAAATCAGAGCTTTTTTATTTCAAGAAAATTGTATTATTTGTTTAACTTATGCTTCTGTCCCATAATTGCTTTTTTCCCCTATCTGGAACTGCTATTGTTTATTTACATTCTATTTTCACTATAATTTTTATCTCATGATATTTTCATTCCATGCTTTAAGATGATTTTCTGGGCCTCTCATAAATAATAAGCAATCTCCCTTTTGAGTCATCTAATACATTACTGTGATTGGTTGCATTGTTGTCAGCCACTATTCGCTCCACCTTTATTGTAAGAGGATAATACACCCCTCCCTCATGGAATTCAGGTTTTGCGATGTGACATATTTGCCTGATGGAATATGAATGCATGTGACCAATGGCACATCCAAGCCTAGACTTTGAGGGGAATAGGCTCTCACCAGCACTGTTGCTTGTCCCTTCTGCCATGAGAATGGGAGTTGCCTAGATTGTTCCTTCTAAATGGAATGCAAGATGAGAAGACAGGTGGAGTGGAGCTGCAGCTCTCATGCAGGTGCCCCTATGCATTATGAGCCAGAAATAAATATTTGTGGCTTGTATGTCACAGAGATTTGGGGCCTTTGAAACCACATCATTTGTCACTAAAGACTTGCCTTCTAAATGCATTTGGTTGCAAGTGTTTACAAGTAATAATTTAAGTAAATGTTTTACCGCTGTATGCCTTGGCCCCTTTACCACTGGATACAGAGCCAGCAATGCCTTTCAATCTAAACAAAGCAGAAAATGCATTCCAGAAAACTAAGAACCAATTTGGAGAAACCATCCTCAAGGTTCAGTTCCTCTGGAACCATTTCAAGTACCAAATGTTGTATCATGTTTCTATAATAGAAGGAGGACCACTAGGAGTGATCACTAACTGCTATGGCTTGAATGTTTGTGCCCCCTCCAAAATTCATGTTGAAACTTAATCCTCAATGCAACATATTAAGAGGTAAGGCCTTTATGAGGTGATTAGACCATGAGGGCTCTGCTCTCATAGATGGGTCTAGTGCTTATAAAAAGGCTAGAGGATACTAGCTAGGCCTTTGTTGCCCTTCACCTTCCACCAGGTGAGGACACAGTGTGGTTCCTCCCCTTTGGAGGATGCAGCAAGAAGGTGCCATCTTGGAAGCAGAGAACAGCCCTTACCAGACACCAAATGTGTAGAGCCTTGACCTTGGACTTCCCAGCCTCCAGAACTGTCAGAAATACATTTCTGTTACTTATGAATGACCCAGCCTGTGGTATTTTGTAACAGCAGCACAGACTAAGACACTAACATAGGATTTATTGTGGCACTATGACATTATGAAACAGTGAGAACTGGTTAAAGAGTGTGTCTGCAGTATAACATAAGAAGACCCACCTTAAGCAGGGCTACAAGTCCTGAAGGAAAGATGAATATGAAATTGCGGGGAGGAGGACTGAGCAAGGACAGATTCAGAAACTGAAACCAAGCTGGAATCCATAGAATGTTCTGGATTTCATATTGGTTTTTTAACAAGCTCTATGAATCTATCTTTGATAACAACAGTTGGACTGGAAGGAGAAGCTGGTATCTTTTGTAAGAGAAATAAACTCACTCACGGATCAGGAACCTGGAAAGTTAAAGGAGGGGATCGAACAGCATCTGGAATCACTGTGGGTCTGGCTGTTGCCCTATTCCAACATGGTGAGTCAAGAGATGAGTGACAGGAGTACCCTGGAGAGAATATGGCCGTGCTTCACTCTGCCATTCAAATCTCATCCAAAATGTCTCTTGCCTGTGATCTACACTAACCGGAAACTGTGCAGGGAAGGGAATTCTGGAAATGTATTTCCAGCCCAGCTAAAATGAGTCAACAGTAGAACACATGAAAACTTCTCAATTAAAATTTGATGAATGAATAAATGTGTAAATGAACAACTAAATCACCTTTAAGACATAACTGCAGTGAATTTCAGATCTCTAAATTATCAAGGTTAGTATTTTCCCTAGGCGAATTTAACACTTCTTTGTTGGAAAATGTATTTATCACTGTTTTGTTTGTTTATTGTTAGGAGCCATTCTCTTACCTTATCCCTCCTACAAAACATCTTAGGTCTCCCAATAAAATTTGTGTTTGTGTCAGCCTCAACTTGTTTATTGGTGCCAAGGAAACCGTACTACCCTGGATTAACCAAGCATCTCACTTTCTTGATGTTTTGATTATTCTAAATGTCTCTTGCAACATGCAAGAGTAATCAAGTAGCATTTATTGAAAGGGTGCACGAAGAGATAAAAGATAATAGAAGCTGCATCTTGTTTAATGGAGCATGCGATGTTAACTTCTTTAGATAATGAAAATGGGGAGGCAAGGAGAGATATGAAAAAAAGATAAGCTGCTTTCCATCACCCCAAACCTCAATCCTAATTCACTCAGAATAAGCCAAAATCTATCCATGTGAAAACAGGTATTTAAAAATTAAGAGATGTCTGACAGTTTTTCATTATTATTAAATAATTTTCCAGCATTAGCTAATTTGGATATAGAAGGTTAATTCATTAAGCATGATTTAGAAGTGTTTCACATCGAATTGTTCTCCACCAAAACATAGCAGCACCCCTGTGTCAGAGATTCTTTTATACCAATGGTTCTCAAACTATCATGGGGAAGAAGCACCAGGAAGGTTTGTTAAAGAACAGATTGCTGAGCCCCAGGCTCAGAGTCTCTAATTCAGTAGATCTGGGGTGGGGCCAAGAATTTGCAATTCAAATGAGATCCTAGATGATGCTGATGTTTCTGTTCCGAGGACTGCACTTTGAGAAACACTGTTAGAATAGATCCACATAAAGAGGGTGGAGAGTCTGTATCTTATTTGTCAGGATCACTTAAAGGTATGTCTGGCAGGTACCTGCAATTAACTCCACAATTAAAGTGCTTATTCTCACAAATGGCTAAACACTAAGCTGTGTGTCAAATCACTGCTTAGCACAACCTGAAGTTAAAGCATCTACTGTATGTCTTGTTATCCAGCCAATACAGAGTCGAGCCAAGCATTTAAAATCCTGTTTAAATAGACACAGTTACTATATCTAATCAACACAGCAGTGGGGCTTGCCAAAAACCTATAAAACTAATGGATTTGCAAGAAAATTACATCACCTTCAAATCAATGCTGGTAACACAGGTGGCATTTATAAAAAGTAAAGAAATTGACATTAACACAGCCTGTCTCTGCTGCCTGCCAATGAATACTCCAGCTTTGCTAAAGAAAGATCTTCTCTCTTCCAAGAAAAGAATTATATTTAAATGCCTGAACTTAAATCTTTCTAAAATAGCATAGTAGAAAGAACCAGTGACTGTTGTAAATTTGATGCCAATCAATAGATTGAGGATATGTGGGTATAAATATTATACGGATATCCCTGTCCTGCAATGGGTAAATACTCTTTAGAGTCCATGATTTTTTTTCCTATAAAAATTAATTAATTAATTAAGGAATTCACTATTTAATTCAAACAACACTCACCCCTCACTGAAGAAGCCTACAGAAATTGCATTGCACAATATAATGAAAAAGCAGCTGAAGACTTTTTAACCTGTGGCTGCTGCATGCATAACCTCTGCTCTGGGGACCTGCATTACTTGGCAGATGGAATTAAAATCCTGATAAGTGATATAAAAGGTTTGTAAGGGAGGAAATTGGTGTGTGGTCACATTGTCTGCCTTAATCCCCTTCACTTTGCACTACCCGGCTTGTTGTTAAAACCAATCCGTGAGGAATCATTTTCACCTTGAAAACTGCAGATGTGCACGTGAAGCCTAGAAGAAAGCTCTCTGGAAAATGCTTTCCTGAGTAAGCCTGGAGAAAGAGGAAGTATGTGTTGAAAGCACACATACACACATGTATACACATGCGAGAGTCTGTGCTTATACCTCACCATCATAAAACAGCTATGTGAAATTAGCATATTTCCAGGGAAGAGGTATCATGTGCCATGAATTTAATCAGCTACAAATCTACTCAAGCATAGAAATGGCTCATCTGCCACTGACTGAACGGCACAAATGTTCCACTGACACCACTAAATGTTCCTGTAGAATTTTTGGATCATTTGAGTTAAGTATCTACACTGTCCACTGTAAACATTTTGTTATCTCATCTTAGATAAAAATAATAATTAAAAAGAGAAACTCAGGAGTCTGAGCTATATTCTGGGAGGATCAAATATGTAACAGTCTCTTTGGTTGTAACTTCTGGTATCTTACATAGCTTCTTCTGTGGCTGAGAATTACAAAAATGAAGGGGATAGGTGAGCAATACCCACCTTAAGGACACCTAAGACTAATGTATATGAAAGCTCTCCATGAGTCATTTTCGAAAGGGAGGTTTTAACAAAGGACATCAATAAACATAATTAGCTTGTTCTGTAAAACACTGTATTAGTCTGCTCTGGGTACCATAACAAAATACGGTAGACTAAGTGGCTTACACAACAGAAATTTATTTTCTCACATTTCTGGAGGCTACAAGTCACAGATCAATGTCTGACAGGGTCAGTTTCTTTCTGGTGGGGGCTGTCTTCCTAGCTTGCAGACGTCTGCCTTTTCACTAAATCCTCACATGGGCTTTCCTTGGTATGAGCACATGCTTGTGGGGCAAGAGAGACAGCAAGCTCTCCCATGTCTCTTCTAACAAGGATACTGATCCTATCACAGCAGGGCCTCACCCCTATGACCTCACTTAACATTAATTACTTTCTTACTTCAAACACAGCCATACTAGTGGATGGGTCTTCAACATACACATTTGGGAGGGGATGCATACATTCATTCTGTAGCAAGTACAATTCCCACAACAATTAATTTACTCAAGTAGTTAATGCATATTTCTTCTAACGCAATTACTCAAAAAAAGACGAACTGGATTTCAAACACATCGTGTTTTCAGCATTGATATGGTTTGGATTTGTGTCCCTGCCCAAATCTCATGTTGAATTGAAGGATGGACCCAGTGGGAGGTGATTGGATCATGAGGATGGGTTTTCCCCATGCTGCTCTCATGACAGTGAGCTCTCATGAGATCTGATGATTTAAAAGTGTGTGGCACCTCCCCCTTCATTCTCTCTCTCTCCTGCTGCCATGAGAAGAAGGTTCTTGCTTCCCCTTCACCCTTTTGCCATGATTGTAAGTTTCCTGAGGCTTCCTAGCCATGCTTTCAGTACAGCCTGCAGAACTGTGAGTCAATTAAACCTTTTTTCTTCATAAATGACCCAATCTCAGGTAGTTCTTTATAGCAGTGTATATCTTTGTATACTGTGCTTCCAAGGTTTCCATCTGAAATTGAATGAAGAGCTCTGATTTTCGAGGAAACCTTGCTTTCTTCTTGAGACTTCATTACTTAGTTCTCACAATGGCTCAAGGAGAGACAGTGGCATTATCTGTCATAGAGGAGGAAATGGTCATGATCTTATCACGCTTCCTCAGAAACTGAAAAAATAAAACTTTTCACAGGCTTATTTTTGAGTATCATCTAAGCTAGAGAAACTTTCATCTAAATTGTGTACTAATATTTATTGATACAGAAATGTAAAATAGCATTTGTTGATTTTTTTCCCAATCAAATTTTTTCAAATCATGTTAACTACAAAGAAGGTAGACAATATCAATATACAAGCAATCAAATAATTTGTACGGTTTTCACATTTAAAATACAAAGTAAACCCCCTGAAGAACAACCAATACTCTTCTCGGATTTCAAGTTCACCTTTGGGTTGCATTCTCTTGTGTCTGAGCATTTGATTTTCTCATTTACTCCAGTGGTTCATTTTCTTCTCCAACCTCACAATTGATAAATTTGCCTATGCATAAAATATGAATTCTAATGTCCAATATCATTTGATTTTCCAATATGAATTTGATCTCACTTGGCCTCACTCTGGTTTGAAACCAACATGACAGTACAATCATGAGATTCCTACCCCAGGGCCACTGCTCAAACCCAAGTGGGTTGTGGATTGCACAGTCTCAGAGGCACAATCCCCGTATATATATATATGTATATGTGTATATATATATATATATGTATATGTGTGTATATATATATATATATATATATATGTATATGTATATATATACGGGAGCTTTCAAATTCTCACATATATATATATGTGAATGGTGCCCTCTGGAGCAGTACTTAGCCATCATTGTAGTGCTGAAAGAACATGTGAGAAGAACATGTAAAATTACATAAGCGAGAAGAATCAATAAAGCACTGCATTGGAAGAATATCAAGAACCAGCATTTGCTAAAATAATGCATTCTCTTATTTTCATTTATTGATACAAAGGAGTCTTTACATTTAATATTACCCTGTATATTTTAAAGACCGCAACACAACTTTCACAATTATTATCAATCCTATAGGTAATATTTCCACGGTGTATATGTAGGTATTCTCTCTCCCAATAAGAATGACTAAAGCAGTTTGAAGTACAGATGGGAAATTTTAAACATGGAACATAAAGCACATATAACATCAAGTGTATGACTGAGCTAACATTTTTCTGCTCATGATTGTGTCAACACAAAGCAGATCGAAGACTAAAAGACAGAGTGATAATAGTTTTCATCAGCTATATTCACACAATTCAAGTAAAGGCACAGATGGGAAACATTCCAATTGTAAAATGTTAACAGGCAGTATTAAGAGGAGAAAGAACAATTAAGTTGAGCGATGAGCTATTTATGATTTCAGTTGCCTTGAATCTTAAATTTTCTTTACCATTGTGTGGCTATGGTTATTTTTTGAATGAGTTTTGTCCTGAATATCCTAATAGTTTTTCCATTTAAGGGGAAAAAAATGACACTTTTTTGTAAAATGAATAAGGTGCTGCTATCAATATGTGATAAATGTCTTTTTGTTGTTCTTCCATTTTTTCCAATGCCCCTTTCTCTACCTTTTTTCGCAAAGTAGCTGTGAACCCATCATCATAGATGAATGTGACCATTCATAGATGAATGTGATCCATGGACCTTAGTGACATGACAAAACAAGCAAAAAGTCCTAGCTTTAATAGATTTTAAGCTTCTTGAGGGTAGAAACCAACTTAATTTATTTGTAACCCTACTATCTAGCATACTGTCTGTCAGATACTAAAAATGAAGTGCTTTTTTGAGTGTATGGATAAATATATAATATTTATATAATTTTTCAATATTCAAATAAGCAGAATATTATTAAATAGACTTACCAAGAAAATTTTTCTCAATTTAATTTTTATTCTATGACTCAGAAAGAAGTCAGATGTTATTGCTAGTCCTAAATCAATGGTATGAATAATGGTAGATATGACAATCAGAATTGGATTAATTTAGCTCTTGGTTATCCGGACTCTTGATGAGTACTGGAAATTTTAAGTTATCTTCTGTTGGTATTTGGAGAACACTAAAAGCTTTCAAATTCTCTCCTTTTCTGTAAAATAGCTTAGAATACCTTTCTTGTTCTTTTACATGGCCCAGACTCTGAGGAACATTTCTAGCAGTAATTAACAAAAATGAAGCATACTTTTTTCACAAATCATTATAAATACATTGCCCACAACAGCTTTTTGGCTCTCGCATAAACTCTTCTCTCATCAAAAGAATTATTAATCTCACCTCCACCATAAGAACCTACCAAACACAGATTGTTATATTTTTGTCAATGTAAGCTACATTTATAGAAAGGCAGGAACTGTAAAATGGAAGCTAGCCTGCAGGGAGGCTCTTCTAAATTGAAACAACCCTTGTTTTTCCACCATTTACCATGGTCTAGCTCACGGAGATAACTCAACAGTCACTACACATGTTTGGCAGGTCCTTTGGCTTCTAAGACCTCTCCTCAACAAGAACTGAGAGATTCCTTTAAACTGGACTTTATAATAACCAACAAAGGATTAGTGTGGGGGAAAGAAAACTACTTTATGGAATCAATAATTTACAATGAATTCATTCTTTGTATACATACATATATGGCGTTGCCCACATGCCAAGAAAGGTGAAACTAAATGCTATACCATTAGCCGTGGTGCTCATATGTGAAATGCATAATAAGTAATATGCAGGTATAATTGCAACCTATTAAATGGAATTGCCTCCTCATCATAGTGTTTGTAATCTTACCTGGTAGCAACAGGACAAGGGATCCTGACTGGAGTTTTCATTCACATCTTCCTTCATCATTATAATTCTATGGCTCCAGCTTCTTTGTCTGTGAAAGACTGACTGTGTTATGAGATGAAATCCTTCAAGATAACGGGGGAGCGCTCTCAGTCTCTGCATCTGCAGTTCTTCAAACTCCATCTTGTACATCTCTCTTGAATCCAATTCTTCCCTTATATCATTTTGATAATTCTTCTGATTCATAATTGCTATTGCCTCAATCTAAGTAATGCTTCTAACCATTAAAGGGAGCAAAATCTTTTCAGTGTCTTGACATGTTTGCAAATACACTCTAATTCCAATTCTGTGATGGGTAGAGATTTATAAACCTCCCTAAATTAAGATAAAACAAAAATAACTTTTGAGATGGAAGCTCAAGGTCATTTTCCCTATGCTTTTCCTTTGATCCAATAGAAAAGTTTCCTCATTTTTCACTCTTCCCAATGCCACAGTCGCCCTCCTCCACAGCAGCAGAAGTTGAAAGATCAGACATTTTTGGCATTCAGTGCTTCTGTACTTCTGTATAAGGCAAACCCCCTTTTTGGGTGGACTCTGATTCACACATAAAGGCACAGATTACTCTCTCTGAAGCTATCACCTAAACCCTAAGAATTTTTGTGTTCTATTTTTTGTCTTCCATAAATCTATACATATTACCGCTAAATCACTTATCATATCCCACTTATTTTTGTGCGTCTCCCCCAAAACATTGTAACTTACTCAAAAACAAGAAGATATTTTATAGTTGCATTTCTTTTTCCTAGCTCAGTGACAGATACACTGTAGCTGTCAATAATAAATGCTTTAAAAAGAATAAATTACTTAAAAACATTATTCTACAAACAGCCTGTTTTTATTGGATTTTGCTAGTTAATTATTTCATGCTTTACATATGGAATGCATTAGAAACTAAAAGGAAAAACACAAAGGATTTTTTTATTTAAACAGTCAGGATGGGATGAGAGTTAAGATGAAAATTGTCGTTTGACTTTGAATATTATTCAAGAGTACAGGACACAATCAGAGTCCAGACAAGGAAATGTCTAGTTAGTTTTCACTTGGCAGTCAAGCGAATGTGAAGTCTAGGTAACTGAGTGCCCCACTTCTCTCAGCTTCTTTTGAGAAATTTGGTCAGACCACACTGTCGTGGGTCCACACTGACCACTGGATGTCACCCAGTGGGCTAATGCCAGTGACTGTCTGGTTGGCCAAAAGTTCTCATTCAATACAGATTATGTTACCATCTCCATGGATATGGATACCCATCACAGATTGATTAAAGCAAATGCAGTCCTTTTAAGAGTATGTGATACTTCCCACCACACTTTTCCTTCTCATTTTGTTTGAAAAGACACCTGACTTGGCTTAAGCAGACTACTAAATATGGTGATTTAGTAGTCTGAAACAAAGAGCCAATATAACATTGCTTGCAGCTTGGGATAAATATTTTCTGCAAATGTGAAATCTTGCTTTGTGTGGGAGAAGGATATTTTAGAACATTTTCAACTGAATTAAGTTGGCTGATACTCACTTTGTTTTCAACTGGTAGGCAGAAACAAATGAACAGATTTATTCCTTCTGTCACCATTACCTTGACACAAGTCATAATAATCTAGAAAACACTTAGCACTCGGAGAAGTGTGTATTAGAATAGGGCCATTAAATCTTATTTGTGAAGATTTTACAATCATTGGAAGTTTGGGGAGCCTATGATTCTAAAGGTATAAGAACATGTGGAGAGCTCATCATGTCAGGGGCACTAACTGGGATATATTTTCACTCACAATTCTGTCAAAAATACCCAAAAAATGCAAAATAAATCTCTACTGTCTTTGGATATCTTTTGTGGAACTGTTTGGATAGAAGCTCTAAATATATTTTAAATAACTTTTTACTGCCTCTGGATTCTGAAGGAATGTGTCATCATTTTTAGATCTAGACACCTTTTGCCCCTTGTGAACTCATTCGTGGCCATTTCTCTTAATCATCTCTTTACACTTTATATTGAAACAATTCTCCATCCTGTGTACGTATTAGAGACTGTTAGAGACAAGAACAGGCTAGTCATGAGAAGAAGCATAATCTTCAAGTTGAGTGATTTATTGCTATTGATGCTTAAAATGATAAAAAAAAAAAATAACATTCTAAGCAGTGTTCACAAAAAGAATGGATGGAAGAGAAAACCAGCATGCTGTACAACCCCAGGGCAGTGTAAATACTGATATTTGGCAGAATGTCATAGCAGTTAAGACAGGGCTCTCGGCCCATATCATCTGGCTCTCCGGTTCCATTCTGTTTCTCGCTGTGCATCAGTTTTCTCACATGTGAAATAATAATAACTACCTATGTAGTTACACATTCACTTATACATTAAGTAAGTGAATAACTGCAAAGTAATAAATATATGCCTGAGAAAATAGCAAGTCTTCAATTAATGTGTTATTAGCATAAAGAGCTAAGAATTGAAAAAGAAATGCAGTGTTCAATTTGATGGTTAGTAAATGAATATAACTGAACCAAAAGATTAAAAATACATAAAAACATATACATGGGAATGTATGATCACGATTATAATATGTACTTACTTTAGATACTTGGCCATCTATTCCCTTAGGAATTATGTACTGAATCCTTACTAAGGGTCTGGCATTATGAGGTATTAAAATATATGGTCCCTACCTTCCACCAAATAGCTTATGGAAAATGGAAGAGATAAACACCAAGAAAAATACTATGTACATGCTATGGCAGAGCTGAGCACATGGGGCTGTGGGAGCTTGGAACATAACCATAACCCAATCTGAGTGCGTAAAAGGAAGTCAAGCTAAATTTTAAAAGATGAATAGGAAATAATGAAGTGAAGAGAGTGGGAGAGGCATTTAGGTACAAAGTGCTATATTTAGGGGCCTCTAGAGGCATGAGAGGGGAAGGGACTTTCCAGACAATGTGTTTCAAACTACAGAGGAAGAAATGAGAAAGAGCAAGAGCTTTCTATGCCATGTTAAGTAGTTTGGCTTTTAACCTTAAAAATTGGGAGAACTTGAAGAATGTTCTTCATCTCACTGCATTTTGGGGGAAACAAATGGAGGAAGGCATGGATGAAGGCAGGGAAACCATGCACTTTGTTACATCATTCATCCATAATCTGGAGGGAGGTGATGGTCTGAACTAATGACGAAGTTGGTAAAGAGGCAGAAAATCTGAGAAACGTTCACATAAACAAATAGAGAATTGCCACCAACTGAAGTGAAAAGCTAAGGGTGAGGGAGAAGTAAAGAATACATTCCTGGGTTACCTGATTTAGTTGACTGGGTAGGTGGAAATGTCATTCATCATGATGGACACAGAGGGATTGGACAGATTTAGAGAAGAAGGTGCTGTCTTCATATTTTCATCTATTTAGACAGATTTATATGTAAACTCCTGCAAAGGAAGATTAGTTGACAGCAAAACATATTTATCTGTTGCACAGAAGAGAGGTGTGGATTAGAAATGCAGATTTGGGAATTATAAAAATAGTTGCAGCCATAAGAGACATAGTTTTACTTAAGAAAGTAAATGGAATAGTACAAAAATAAAGACTGGTGATGGAATTGTGAGGAACACAAACACTTAACAGATAGAGATGGGAACCTGCTGAGGACTGTCAAGAACACTTACAAGAATATCAGAACAAAATGGTGTCCCTGATACCAAAGGAGGAAGAGGAGTTACAAGGAGGAAGAGGAGTTCTCCAAAACAATGTTAGCAGAGAAGTGAGTGGGTTGGAGAAATAAACATGTTATTTGATGGAAGCATCTGGAAAGTAATTGATAATTTTGGTAAAGCAGTGTCAGGGTGGGATGTGCAGAATTATATGTTCCTAGTAAAGGTGCTGAAGTGTGGAGGCAGAGACAGGGAACTGGGAGTAAAGGTTGCTTTTGATAGAAGTTTGGCAGAGTAATGGTTCAAGGGAGATGTGTAGCCGAGTAAGTTTTTTAGTTTCTGTTTCTGTTTTTCTTTTGGTTCTTAGATTTAGAAGATTTGAACATATTTGCCTGCTGACATGAAAAGGCTATGTCAGAAAAGTGGACAACTTTTGGAGCAGACAAGGAGTGGAGTAGGGGCTTTGAAAGGAGGGTTAACTGTCTGAGATAGGTGATGTAATGAAGGAAGAAAGGAACTGATGAGGGAAGGATCACTGGTTGGCATTCCCAATCCAGGTAAGATGGCTTTGTAATGGTGACACCAACTTTTAGGTCAGGCTGGAACTCAGATCTCATTTGTTTACTTTGGGATCTCATAGAGAAAGTGCAATAAAGCAACATTATTTGCAAGCTATGAGACCCCTGAGATGCTTAAGGAAGGTTGTTTAGCTGAAACAGCTTTGAGGAACAGAAGCCACATCATGTAGCAGAGTTAACACCCTGGGATAAGAGGCTAAGAATTTAGGCATTGCTCTCGTGGAGGAAATCAGATCTCCTCCACAGCGTAAACTCCCATGAGTGATCCCAGAAGTGCTATGGCTGGGCATACTCAGGATGGAACTTCCTAACCCATAAGGCGCACAAGCCTTTTTTTGGCAAATACCAGTTGTTCCTACCTCAGACGGATTTCTTCACTTTGCAAAGTCACCAGGTCTCATCTCCAATGAGCTGTTTAGAGGCATGACATTTATTCTTCAGTGCCATTCAACCTAGTAGTAAGTTTAAATTTGAGTGATTATAAAACTATCCCAATCACTTGTGCTCTTGTCTCATTGTATGCCTGTTTCTCAGTTTGAGAAGTCTGGATGTTCAGCTCTACTAGATGCATGCTTTGCTTTCTATTATTGTTATATTTCAGATTCAAATTCTTGCCAAGTTTTTCTAAATACATTTATGAAATGTATTGCATCCACCTTTTTTGATTCCAGCAAAGGCAGCATCCTTTATAAGAACACCAAAGGCGTAGGGAAGGCCTAGTTTAGAGTCCCAGTTCGACCACATATTAACATGTATCATCTAGCCAGCCACTTTACCCCTCCAGCCTTGGATTTCTTCCTTATATAAAAAAGAAGGTGTGACTAGACCTCATTATATCAGCCAGCTCTAAAATCCTTTATAAGATAGAAATTTTACTTTGTCATGGTCAACTTAAAGTAAAGTATTGAAAGTCAAACAGCTAAGAACACCTGCAAACAGGGTAGGTGGCAGTCCATGCCCATGTATTCTAGGAGCCTAATACTGACACCAGAGTTTTACACTGCAGCAGCGTAATCGTTCCTACCAGCATGTTCCATTAAAGCTTGACTTACTGCCAGGGAATTCACCTGCTGACACAGTAAAACTCCTAACTGGAAGCATTAACATTGCAATGTCAGATGGTGGAGGTGGGGAAACATGCTCATAAATTCCACAGACGTGCACTGCTTTATTTGGGGTCCTGGTTGCAAACTCATTATTTATGCTGTGTACAGTAGGCCATCAACATATCCCACTGGGAAATTAGTTTGCAATTTAGATTCGTTTCAAAGTACAAGTGATTCTCAAGTCATTTTCCAAGGTTAAATGAGAACTCTTATTGCTTTCCGTGGGCTCAGAGGGAATTTTTACTCCGTGTGTTCCCTCCTCCCCCAGCTTCTGCTAGACTGTCTTGATTTTTCTTTCTTAAGTGCACTTTGTGCTAAATCTCCTTTTTTCAATTTTTGAAAGCTGGTAAATGGAATGGTATTTGTTGCATTTTCTTGCTTGCTGGGACTGCTTAAGTACCTCACTTTTTATTATTGCTGTTATTCTTAGAAGAGTCCTGAGAGGTTTCCATGTTCCTTACAAACAGGATTGCTTGGCTAACTAACACAGGAATGATTTTCAAAGATGGGGTGACATCCACTTTAGGGTGCAGTGAATCACAGGCATCATTTCACTCTCATGCCAACCTTCCCACTCCAGGGGCCATGCCATTGGGCAAGGATTCAGGTGGGCTAGCTGAAAGCAGGAGTGAGCTTGGCAACTCCAGGCAATGTAAATTAGGGGTTCAACATTTATTACAGAATTCCAAGTCCTTAAGCACAAAACAAATTAAGAAAAAACAGGGTTCCATTAATTCTGTCAGATTTCCCAAACCCCTTGGTTGCTTGATTCTCTCCTTTAGAACATCATTAAAGGTTTTTTTTAGACTTTATTTTACTGGTAAAATGTGGACATGTCCCCTCATCTTTTTCCAACCTGGGAAAATTGCCTCAAACCACCTGGCAGATAATTTATAACCTGATATTATTCTTGCAGAATAGATGCCATTATTTTACCCCATATCATTCCTAAGTAGTAGAAAATAATCCATGATATAAAGATCTTGAAGGATTTCATTTCTTTTCCTCTTTTCTCATTAAGTGTTTAAAATGCCAAGGTCTGATATAATTAGATATAATAAGCCAAAGTTCAGATAGAAAACAAACCAAATTTGGTAAGCCACATTAAGTCTCCCTTCTCCCTCAGCAACAAGAAGCTCTAAGGTTTTTCTGAAACCAAAGTTTCAACATCTCTCTAATGCATTAGGAGAGTGTTTTCACAGGCACAGACCAGAAAGTATACACACCGAGGAGATTAAGTGTTTACTTTCAAAATGTTTGAAATTGCTAGCTTAAACACAGAAACTACGCACAAAGAGTGCAGAGAAACAATGAAAGGAAGATATCAACAGAGTAAATACCACCTAAAAATACTAACAGTCTTAAAGGTCAGAAATCCTTAGTTAAACAAAAAGACTCATCCATTAGAAACAATCAATTACAAGATAACCTGAGAATGTCATCACACTATGAGTTTCCTTTCAAAGCAGAAATTATTCAGCTAAAAGCTATTAGCTTTGTACTCTATAGGTTACTAACCAGAGCGGGTTACAAACAGAAACTGAAACCAAAAGAAAAAGAAACAGAAAAATAAGTACATTTAGAACTGCTTAATATTGAACTTCTAAGGTGTAGGAAGGCTTTTATCCTGTGGATATTTCAGTCCGTATCTCTATGTGTTCTTTGATGCTGTGTGGATGGAAAACAAAACTATTCCCTAGATTCGATATTCTCAGTTTGTCATTTTAGTTGAAATTGGATTAAAATGTTTTCCTTGATTGCAGATTATTCAAGCTTTTTTTTTACTACTATTTAAATATGAACATACTTCAAATATAATCCTCCGCCCCTTCAAGGTTTGAAAGAAACAGGTGTTGATTTGGTTTGCTAGTGTTTCTGGTATCTTTTTATTTTTTAAATTTTTTTGTACTATATTTTGTTCATCTTGGCCTTTGCTGGGTAAAATAATAGGTTAGACAGGTATGATACTTTAAATAGAGAATCTTAACATCTGTGAATCTTTAAGAACACTCAAGCAGATGGTACTTATAAGGCGAGTCAAATTCTTTCAATGTTTCTCGTGTCTCCAACAATTATTTTTCCTAGACTTTCATATTGTAAATTTTAATTCTAGATAGCATACTAATTATTTATTATGAAAGCCCCAAATCATCTCCTAGATCTGGAGAGTGGCTGAATCTGTTAAAACTTCCCCGCTCTCAGGAACATATTATTATATTATTAAGGCAAATTAAAAGATTTCTGGGTTTTTAATGTTTCAAGAGATAATACATATTTCATTAATAACACTTTCCCACAATGTGATTAAAACCAAGCAGGGGGATATGCTCTTGTGACTTTACCTGGCATGAACCTGGCCTGATAGACAGTGCCTTCACGTTAAATAAGGGTCACATAACATATACAACCTTTAGATACCTATTTTTTCTTTATTATCTGCCAAGCATTATTCTAAAACAGAAAATGCAATGCTAACACCCAAGAGGTTTTCTGAAGGAGTCTCACCTGTTGACTTTGTCCCAGCACACGCTCCAACATATTTCTCACAGGCAGCTTTCCATTCTCATATATGCTATTTGAACGAGGGAAGAATTAATCCCCCAGAAATCAGATTCTACTTCTAGCTTCTCAAAGTTGTAATCGACTTTGGCTCTGTAATGAAAACTTCCTTGGAAGATCTATGATACTTGAAAAAAAAATAGAGATAAATATCTTTTTTTCCATTTCTCTCTCCCCAAAATGTAGAGCTTTGCTCTAAAAATTATTCTCAACTCTGTGTAAAAGGGTGCTTCACCTACCTAAACTAGGATCTACATGATTGTAGAATCAAATCCATGAAAATAATTCTGTGAATGCAAAACCAGAACAGGCCAGTGTTTTCTAGATCCCTAAAACCTAGTGCAATGCTATTGTTGCAGGTGAATTTTTACAGCATACAACATATCGAAGTCAATAAAACCCAATGGCTGTCAGGACAGCAAAGGTGCTCTAGATTAGAATTATTCTCATATCAGTGGGTTGAGTGAGGGATTGGAAGATACCAGTGAAAGTCAGGAATCTTCTTCTTTTTAATTTTTATTTTTAGTTTAAGTTCTGCATGTGCAGGTGTATTACATAGGTAAACGTGTGCCATGGTGGTTTGCGGAACCTATCAACCCATCACTGAGATATTAAGCCCAGCATGCATTAAGGAATCTTCTTTACGTGAATATCTAAGTCCAATCATACTTATAAACCAGGAACTGATCTTTTTATGTTCATTAGAATTAACATATTACCCTTCTAACCACACTATTTTGTTCTCAATGAATGCATGTCCAACTTCAGGGAATTCCTTATTTTCACATTAGATGTAATCACAGATTTTGAAAGTTTGCCTAATTGTCCTGAACTCTTCCACCAATGGGCAAGGAAGAGAACAAGACACACACATCCTTCATCTAAATCATAAAGTTCCAATCAGCTGTGCATTTCTTTTCTTTTCAACCCTGTGGTCAGGCCTCTGGAGCACAGATATTGTATAGAAACCGCCTAATTATGAGATTCTCAGTAATCAAAGTGAGTTTTTAAGAGAAACAACATAATCAGCCCCAAAGCCTGCTGTTCTAGACATATAAACACACACCCTTGAGTCTGGAGGGAACGATGAGATTGTTAAATCTTCAGTGGCAAATTGTTGAGGCGAGGAGCTGAAAGAACACAGAGCGTCCCTTTCTTCATTTGGTGTTCACAAGTTTGTCCATGTCAGCAACTCAGTCTCAAGACAGTCAAAACAGTCCCCTTCAGTTGACCACATTCCCTCCAAAGCCTGCTGCTATGCCATACATAGGTCTACATTTTTGTGAGTTTTTTAGTGTTATTTCTGAGAGAGCAGAGGAGAGAGAGACACATGGACAACTAATCAGTTTGGCTTGCTTTCTTCCTTAAATTTCTATTTTAAAGACGGTAGCCCTCAAAGTATAGACTTGTAAAGAAATTCTGTCTGTACTTGCTTGGAAAATTAAAAAAAAAAAAAAAAGAAAGAAAGAAAAGAAAGTCTATGTGGCACATGGCCAGATTTGTTTAAAAAAAAAAAGTTGCTAATTTTGGACTCACTTCTCTCCATTAGGGCAGTGTAAGAATGATGCACACAAGTCGGAGGCTTTTCTCTGCTTAGAAAACATCTGCATTCAGTTAGAAATAAGCCCGAATGTCGTGTTAATTCTGCAGAACCAAACAAAGTCATTTTTGTTTAAACTCTTTCAGTACTGTGAGGATGAGAGGTTATAGCAGAAGAAAAAAAAAAAACAATGGTACAAAACTGCCGTTGGTCATGGAAGGGAGCTGAGCAGCAAATAAGAAGTTCTTTTGCTTTGAGAATACATACTTGGAAATTGTTTCCAGGAGAATTCTCTTCTCCAGCATTTACCTCATGGGAATTGAGTAGGGTAGGGTGGGCAGCAAGCCTCCTCTTTTAAGCAATGGAACATTCTCCAGATTCCCCCAAAATGAATTTGACCAAATAATTCATGTGTTTGGCAAATGAGCCATGGCATTTTATTTTTAATTTTGTGGAAAGCCAAACGAATAAAAACTAAATTTACAGCTCATTGTATGCATTTCACATGATTTTTATAGTCACCAAATATGATTGGTGTTTTGACCTTAAATAAACCAAAAACAAATTTTTCTATTGAAACACACATCTTCCATAAATATCAGTATCCACGTCCACCTCTTTAAACATCAGTAGCACTAATTCTACTGGAATTTGAGTTTCTCTTTCTCAAAGAAATCTGTAGCTACCTATAGATATCATTTCCATACAAGTACCTCAGACCTGTATGTTGTTAAGGCCAATGGTTCCTAGACAGAACAGGCGATTTCAGCTATTCCTCTGAGCTGACATATTATTTCTTCTCCACACTGTTTCTTTTTTTTTATTTTTTTTATTATTATACTTTAAGTTTTAGGGTACGTGTGTACAACATGCAGGTTTGTTACATATGTATACATGTACCACGTTGGTGTGCTGCACCCGTTAACTCGTCATTTAACATTAGGTATATCTCCTAATGCTATCCCTCCCCCCTCCCCCACCCCACAACAGGCCCCGATGTGTGATGTTCCTTTCCCTGTGTCCATGTGTTCTCATTGTTCAATTCCCACCTATGAGTGAGAACACGCAGTGTTTGGTTTTTTGTCCTTGCGATAGTTTGCTGAGAATGATGGTTTCCAGCTTCATCCATGTCCCTACAAAGGACATGAACTCATCATTTTTATGGCTGCATAGTATTCCATGGTGTATATGTGCCACATTTTCTTAATCCAGTCTATCATTGATGGACATTTGGGTTGGTTCCAAGTCTTTGCTATTGTGAATAGTGCCGCAATAAACATACGTGTGCATGTGTCTTTATAGCAGCATGTTTTATAATCCTTTGGGTATATACCCAGTAATGGGATGGCTGGGTCAAATGGTATTTCTAATTCTGGATCCCTGAGGAACTGCCACACTGACTTCCACAATGGTTGAACTAGTTTACGGTCCCACCAACAGTGTAAAAGTGTTCCTATTTCTCCACTTCCTCTTCAGCACCTGTTGTTTCCTGACTTTTTAATGATCGCCATTCTAACTGGTGTGAGATGGTATCTCATAGTGGTTTTGATTTGCATTTCTCTGATGGCCAGTGATGATGAGCATTTTTTCTTAAGATTAGGTCCCCATGAGTTTCCGATAAAGAAGGGGGTTGAAGACCCTATTTTTGTTTCAGTGTTGGGGGATATGATTTCGCTCCTAATTGGCCGCATCAAATAGCTGTACTCTAGATTCGTTCAGGCAGATAAAAGTGTTTTTGCTATTTAATCCTTATCAAAAAGTGGGTTGTAGGAGCTGTGGGTATAGGCTTGATGGGCATGTTAAAAATGCATTCTTTTATATATTTCTACTGTATCTTTGGATCCAACCAAAGCATAAAAGAGCTGGGCATTGAACCATAATTTTTGGCACCATTTTGACTGACTTTCCCTAAATTGCAGTTTATGCCAGTTGTCTGTACTGAGAAGCACCATAGGAAACAGTCCAATAAAATGTACCACTGTACCTACTGTAGGGAGCTTTCTATTACATTATCCAATACCTTTTTATGAGAAGCCATGAGGGAAATTTCTCAGATTTTTAGTTTGGGGTATATTTTTTTTCCTGAATTACAGTTTTCTATTTCGTTCTCATTTTCAAGTCTTAGGAACCCTGGTTCTTGTAACTGATACTAGTTTCCTTTTTGCTTTCACTGCTAAAAGCTTTGAGGCCAAATATGTGACCTACCCTTAATAACTACAGTGTGTACATAACATATGTTTATACTTCTGTACATCAAGGGCTTTATTATAGTATGACCCTTCTATCCCCTTTACTCTGTTTCTGTCACTTGTTTGTTTTATCTTTTTTATGTTTATTTTTGTAAGCTCTCACAATTTCTTTGTGAAAGAACTCAGGGTGTTTATAAGTAAATAAGTAAATCTAAGTTAAGCCCTGCTATTGAGATTTAAGCCAATGCTACCTTCCTCATAAATACTGGCTAAATCATAGGTTTTCTGAAATATGTAATTTAAGTATTATTATTATATCATGCAACTTTCAATTTTGTGTTCAAAATTTTTAAAAGAGTGAATAAGATGGAAAGAGTGGTTCTGAATAGGTGTAAAGGAATTCAAGTAAAACATCTGAAATGACTACGTAATTGGCAAAGAGGACATAAAAGGATGTAAAAGGTATTGAGGTTATTGGACCTAAATGGAGGAAATTATTGTAATGTTAATTAAATAATAATATTCAAGATGCCAACCGTTATCAGAATATGTGCAGCTGTTTTCTATTGTTTTAGAAAACAATGCTTAAGTAAAAATAATAGGGCTTAAATGTTAAAAATTGAACATAAACTTTAGGAAGATGGTACTGTATGAGTAATGTTTTACTCAAGAACTTTCAGATATAAAAAGATAGGTTTGTCTCTTAACTACAGGTTCAACCTGATTTTTCTTTGGCTTTTTAAGGACAACTAAGATAGGGACATAAACTTTAGCCCAAATAAAACAAAGAAAAATTTAAAAGATTAAATGCGAAGCTCCAATTTCTGTGTGTGCTCCGTTGTTTTTAGTGCTGGAAAAGACACGAAAAGTGGTTCCCCATTTCATTCTAAAGACAGTGAGCTTCACCACCATCTCCCTCACTGAAAGTCGGATCACATGTACGTCTTTAAAATACTGGAATCATATATAACATGTTTTGAATTCATTTTGGGCACTAGTCAGAGCTAATGAAAAATATTCATTTCCAATACATGAAAATATATTTCTTTTTCTTTTACTAAGAAGATTATTTTGCATAAATGTTCATTTTCCTTCTTGTTCATTTTCACTGAGATTGGAGTTCTGGCAGTATCTTTGGGATCCCAGCAAGGCCTAAACCTTAGACACAGGTCAGTGGATCCATGGAACTGTTGTGCCCAGCAGCTTCACCCACTCTCACCAATCCAGGGGCGCATTTGCAAGAGAGAGTTTGGCATTAAGGTTGAAATTTTTTGTAGGGAGGGGAGGTGATGAGCTCCCACCTGGCATGGGAGCTGCTCAGGTGGCACCTGTAGTGACTTGGCCATGGTATTCTCAATGGAGATGAGGCAACTCCTCTAAGTGATTTCATGTGCGGTGTCCATCCATAGGAATCTACAGCAGAATTTGAGAGGGGACATCCTGAGCCAACATGAGGCATTCCTGGGTACTCTCAGACAGAAGAGGAGGCAAGTTTGAAGGGTGGCGCTTCAGAATGTGGGTGAAGACAATGAACCCGTGAAAGTTCAGATTCTATTGACACTGTGACTTATTAATGCCCCAAGCTTACAGAATCAGCGGAGATTTGGGTTATGTAAAGATTTAACTTATTCATCAGTGGATGTATGGATAAACAAATTGTGGTACATGTATTCAAGACAGTATTATTCAGTCATATAAAAGACGGAATATCTGCTAAACAGTAGGTGATTACCAAAAACATGATTCTAAGTGAAAGAAACCAGACACAAAGGCTATATATTATATAATTCCATTTATATAAAATATCCAGAATAGGCAAATGTGTATATAGAGAAAGTAGATTACAGTTACCAGCGGCTGCAGAAAGGGTTATATGGGGACTAACTGCTCAATGGGTATGGGGTTTCCTTTTGGGTGATGAACATGTTTCACCACTAGATAGGTGGCGGTGGCGCAACATTGTGAATGGACTAACTACTACCAAACTGTACACTTTAAAATGGTTAATTTTATGTTGTGTAGGTTTCACTTCAGTTAAACACAAAGAAAGGTGGTCACCGTCGTCCCTCACAAAGCATGTTTGTGGGAAACCTGGTGCTAAACCATTCCTAAATGATCTGCTTCTGGGTCAGGTTTCATACGTAGCAGAACAGCCCCCTTGGTGTGATCTGTTGAAAATCAGTCCTCCACACAGAGATTTGTTTAAAAACAAAAATAAAGTTATAACAAACAATTGAAACTTTTAAAGGGTTAAATAAAAAATCTTCATGCCAAGAAAATATCAAATGCTCACATTTTTTCCCATACTTTATCTTTCTTCTTTCTCTTGCTGATTTTCATCTCCATAGTTTATCTTATAGAGTTACAAATAGCTTTAAGGAAAATATTAGGAAATTCTGTTCTTTGTGCTCGAACTTGCTATCATTAAGCAAATGAAGGTATTTTTATGTCCAATTTAAGTCTTTTTACTTTGTTTTGTTTTAGATCAGAAAGAAGGTTTTAATTCGATTTGATTAAGAAAGTTTGACACATTTTTCAAACAATCTTTATTGAGCTTAGTGATGATCATAAGGTGTCACTTTGTCAATTAAGAAGTCCAGCTTTCTCCAGGAAACTGAACAACTTATGTGCAAGAGTGGAAGGGACAAAAAGTAATACTGATAATGATTACTGTTATTCAAGAATTCTTAGTTATCACCAAGTAATGGTCATAAAAATATTAGAAATTATTCTCTAACTCATTGTTCCTTCTCTATAAGTATCACTCAGAAATATATACAGCATTTGATGGGTGGAAATAGCATCTTTTAAAAATATCATTAAAATAATAATAATCACTTGTTACTCTCTTATTTAAAAAAATAATATATTCATTTTCATGCCTATAACAACACCATGGAGTAGCTATTATATTTTATATTAATATAAAATATATTTTTATTTTGATATCATTTTATATTAAAATATAAAAATTCATTCTTTTATATATTTTTACTGTATCTTTGAATCCAACCAAAGCATAAAAGAGCTGGGCATTGAACCATAATTTTTGGCACTCCATTCTATAGATAAAGAAACTGTGGCCCACAGAGATGGAGTGACTTACCCCAAACCCTACAGCTGATCAGTGGTGGAGACAGGATTCAGCCTTCTCTTTCTCTCTAAAGCTCATGACCTTGGAACCCTACCTTATATACAGGAGGGATGTTACACAATTTGGAACCTTAGAGTCCTATTTCATGATGAACTTAGATTTTAGAACGGAGAAGTATCTCTATGTGATAGAAAAAGTGAATATGGGTAGAGATGAATCTAACACTCAGGTCCATACCACCGAACTCCCTCTATACTTCTCTTTAACTGCCATGTTTGTAGCTAGTGTCACAAGATGGAGGCACCTGGCCAAAGCCTACATAGAGAAAGTGGCCATGGCCAAAGAATTCCCACTATTTTGTCAGATCACAAAGTCCTATTCTATTTTTCTTCAACAATTCCTTCTGTCGCCCAGCTGTCTTTTAGTATCTCATTAAATACTGAGGTGAAGAGTCGAAACAGAATTATCAGTTATTGAATTGCCTCCAAAATCCAGAAGTGCCGGTCCTATGCCACCCCATCTCCATTTCTATATGATGCCAAAGAGGTTTTCTGATCGTGAAATAATTGGTGTATAAGAGTCACTGTGTATCTTAACATGAAAAATTATTCCTAGTAAAGAATTAAATTCAAATTTTCCTGGAACCTGAGATGCCCACAATAAACTGTCATGTAAATTTATCCCACTTTATCTCCATCCACAGTTTGGGAAATACTGGGAATGTAAATTTATCTGTCATGTAAATTTATCCCACTTTATCAACAGTTTGGGAAATTACCAATGCCTGGTCGTTGTATGTGTATATTTATATATTTTTAAGTAAACACTTATATTTTATCACAAATCCATTTTAACACAAAAGGTTTTTCAGTTATAAAGAAAGGTACGAATAATAAGGAAAAAAAGTTGAGATCCAAGAGGACATAAAATCTTTCTTGTTATTCCTATGTGGATTTCTTTGTCATGAGTTGCTCTAAATTTGTCATTATTTCCCACATGAGTACTACCTGGGTAAATTATGGCTTACATTGGCCCTCCACTTGAAATGAAAAGCAGATTGCATTGCAGACTTGAATTATCCTCCAATATTGTGTGATATATGATCCAGCTTGATGGGATACTATTGTTATATATTTCATAGTTATGATTTCCAAAGTATCAAACTCCTCATTATCTTCCCGTGCTAGCCAGCTATAAATGCCAAAACACTCCAGCTTCCAGTATGTACTTTCTTAAACTTATAGTCCTGTGTTCTGTGTATGTTTAGCATTTTATGATGCTGCATAATATAGAAATGTCATAATACTTTATCAAAAGCCCCTGCTAGGCTACTGACAGTATAGGTTTCATTTAATTCCTGGGTGCAGCAGACGTTCTTTGATATTTCCTGTATAATATAATAAACAGCAAATGCAGTGCTTAAAATGAATATTTAAAAAATCAATCAGGCTTGAAATTTAATTTTATCTAATTGGCTTGCTATATCCTAACAAAATTGAATGACATAAAAATTTCACCTACCCTATATAATTTCAGATTTTCTCCAGTCATAAAAATAGATTTTTTTCTTTCTCTTTTAACTTCCTCTGATATAATCTTTTAATTTACTAAGTTAATTTAACCCTCTCTCAGACGGGTTAAAGACATGTGTATCACCATCCCAGGATAGTAATCACATGTGCATGATAATTTTATTCTAGCCATTCTATCCATGCTTTGTTCTGAATGTGAATCTCTAAAACAATTAAAGTGCTTCAAAGACATTTGGTTTGATTTTTTTATTTTTTGCACATGCATTTCTAGAATGAACCAAGCTGGAGAAAAGACAGATGCAGACCACCTTTTCTGATTCCTAGGAGCCTTCTGGAATTAGGCATCTCACATTAATTCATCTTCTGACAGAAACAGGCCATCAGTACAACTTACACCATAGTGAATACTATCAGTGCCTCTGGGAAAGAACAAATAAGTCTTAATGGAAAATATCAAAGCAACAATAGCAGCTGGCTTATAAGCAGATGACAGTGGGGGAAATATATATGTTACATATGTCAGTATGTCTGCTTGAAAAATAAATATATATGCATAGAGGAATGTCTATATAGAAACCCCAAAGGAGTATGAAGCACATGTATGTTTCTGAATATCTAATATCACTGGCTTAGTATACTGTTTGGTTGTGTTTCCATACTCAGTTAGTTTGTTGAATTTTCTCTTAAAATTAAAAAGAAAACTATATTTACTAAAATAATTGTATTCTTGCTATTCTACCATAAAGCCAAATAATGACTTGGGGTCATAGATGGCATTTTCCCTCTTCCATCTTCCTCTGATGACCATATTACCATAGATAGATGTCTGGAAAACACAAAGTATACAAACTCAAACATGTGGATTCTGGCTCATGATCAAGTGTTGCAAACTAAGATGAACATATTCATGACAGTTAGGAAAAACATCTATTGCCAACCCCAAATGCAGCAAACTCTTATAATATTCCTTCTACATGTGAAAAATAAGTTTAAAAGTGTCATGACATAAGGCTCTTTAAAAAATACTGATTAAGCGCATGTGTGTTGATATGGTTTAACTCTGTATTCCCATTCAAATCTCATGTTGAACTGTAATTTTCAGTGTTAGCAGAGGGGACTGGTGGGAAGTGATTGAATTATGGGGGTGGACTTCCCCCTTGCTGTTCTCATGATAGAGTTCTCACAAGATCTGCTTGTTTAAAAGTGTGCAGCACCTGCCCACCTCCTTCTCTTTCTCCTGCTCCTGCCATGTAAGACCTGCTTGCTTCCCCTTCAACTTCTGCCATGATTGTAAGTTTCAGGAGGCTTCTCCAGCCATGCTTCCTGTACAGCTTGCAGAACTGTGTCAATGAAACCTCTTTTCTTTATAAGTTACCCAGTCTCAGGTAGTTCTTTATAGAAATGCAAGAATGGACTAATACGTGTGTGTATTAGAGATTAATCAAAATGGGGCTCAAAAATTTATGCAGTCCATTTTCTATCATTGTCTAATATGGTTGAGCCCATTAATTGGCTGGCATAGCAAAGCATGGGTCATGATATTTTTGTGATAATGAAAATATCTGGTGAGCCAGGTAAACTAAACCAAATGAGTTTATGGGGCTAAAACTATGCATAACTAAGTTACACTGACTCCCCAGGCATCTAATGATATGACTCAACAAAACATTTTAAGAAGCAAAATACATATATCTCCCCTGCAAAGATTTTCACCCTGACCTGAATCAGAAGCAATCTTAGGTGCTTATGTTTCTGAGTTATTTAATTAACGAAAATTCTCAATTAAACAGAAGGACCATTTTCTTTAGTTTGAAATTCTAGATAAAATGAAAAGGATTGTTCATAGACCTGGGTATGAAAATTATTATTTCCTCTTCACTGGCCTCATATCTTTGTTTTTAAACTAACTAGGAATGTCTCAGTTTTACCCATATGCCTGATTCATATTCAGATTAATCCTACTGTTGTGATTTATGATGCCCTTGGCTTTATATTTACTGCTAGCTAAAACTAATAAGCTCTCCCTGGACCAGTGCCATGATACAAGGTCAGCGCCTAGTTAATCATGCCATTGTTTTTCCATACATGTTGCCCTCTGAATTATCGGCAATGATAATTGATTAAAAACACATCTTGGATGATGTCATTTTTAAAAAGGGAACAAGTTTAATTTTTCAAAGAAAGCAGGTTTTAAATTTGTATAAGACTCTTTTGAACATTTTAAATCATCTTATTAAGTAGATTTTGCATTCATCAAGAATATATATATATCTATATATTTAGAATTAGCATTAATCACCATTAAAGTCTCTTTTGAGTCTCCACGTGTAAAGCCACAGTGCTTTTAGTCCATATATGGGCAAGTACTATATAATACCATACTATAAAGGGGGATTGAGGTATATTGACAGCTTTATTTTTGACATATTATTTTATACTATAGCAATCTTTTCTTCATTTTCTACGCTTTGTTGACAGTAGCAGTTTTCTGTAAATCACACTAAAATGTCCAACATATAAGTATTAAAAGCATGAGACATTATATGCACTACTGATTTTGCAGTACTGGGACTAATTTCTATTAAATCTCTCCATATGTAGGCTTCCACCTCCTTAAGAGAACACTTTATTTTATTGTTTCTACTATCCACATAGGACTATATTCAGCAGACTTTAAAAGAAGACAGTCACTTCTAGACTCATCTTTTCCAAGTAATCTAGATCATAGCAAATGCTGCAGATGTATAAAAAGTTAAAGGAAAAATAGTGCCAAAATATTAAACCAAGAAACAAAAGGTTTTATATCTATTTCTGATTTTATGCATTCTGAACTTATGAGGTCAGAATTCATTTACTTTGCATTTCTGTCTTATGTTCCTTGGAGTAAATATAACCTCTGCCTACTGACAACCACAAATATATTATGAAGATGTAGCCACTGGCTTCCAGAAGCAATCAGGTCCATGAATGTGGTGTGGTTTGTATGCTACATTTATATTGGTTACATGGCACATAATTAAACGAGCAAAAAGAACAAATCCATATTCTGTTGGCTCAGAGGTCTTCACGAGTGCCTTGAGCACATGGTTTTTAAATCAAAGTAAAGAAATTCTTTTTGGAAAGGAGTAGTAAGTATGGGACAAATCAGAGAGTTCAAATAGAGAAGCAGGTTTATCCAGGCAGTACTAGAAATTTCCATCAGTAATGCAACATTGGCTTCACTATTGGCCCTCATTCTTCTGTTTTTCTATATTGTGGTGTATTTCTATTCACCACTGTTTGCTTTCCTAGGAGCTGAAGGTAGTAACTGGTAGCACTCAGCATTCCTGTAATCATGGGAAAATTTTGATGGCTAATATCAAAGGCTACTTTTCCCAGCTTGACTTTGTATTATTGCACAAGGAATATTATCCCACAAGGTGCAATGAGCAAAACCATTATGTATGAATGGCCTTGTGAACTATACATTGTCATTTCTATAGAAAACTGATATAAAGTTATATAATTTGAGGTTCAGAATATCTAACCACAGATGCCACCAGCTAGCATCAATTCTCTTTCCACTTTCTACTAAGTTCTTGATTAGTTCTTCATACTCACTGATAATGAGGCAAACATACCTCCAGCCTGCCACCCTTTTCTTTAGTCCTTAGGTTATTTTGTGAATCTTAATTTGCTGTTTGGATCATCCAGTCATGATCCCAGTAATTTCACTTCTGAAAAGTATTATCTTGGGACTTAAGGTTTAGTAAGTCTGGGTTCTAAGATTGGCTTTTCTGCTAATTCCATGGATTACTTGAGATTTGGAGGCTTCAATTATTTCTTGATAATAAAGAACAAGTTGGGTTAAATGATTGCTAAAATACAGTCAATCTGAAATTGCACTAATGACCTTTTCTTGCTAAAACTTTTCTTCCTCCTTTTGTCTCCATTTTGGAATATGACCCTACCATATCTGCCCACCACTATTAAAAACATAGCATCTTCCTCATTGTCTACAACCAATCCATCACTAATTTGGTTGCATTTAATTTCTAAATATACTTAAAATAATCATGATTCACTCCGTCATACTAGGTAAATTAAGTGGCATAATCCCCATGGTGTGTCCCTGGCTAGGTCTGAGGAATATTTTAATTAGTATTGACAAACTGACCTAATCTCTGTCCAACAGCACCTGACTCACTCAGGAGTCCAACTGTGGCACTTGGCAGTCGCCTACTTAACTTCTAACTCTAAAGTCAACCTCAGTAAATGACAATGAAATGTCTTTACTCAATACAACTTCCAGGGGGCAGTTAAAGTGACCCCTTTTTCCTCCTATGCCCTCGTGAATTCAGCTAACAGTGGATATTCAAGTTATCCCTTGGGTTCTGTTACGAAATTCAAGAATGTTTAGTCAATATGGCCCAAAGATCACTCTTTTCACGAGTCTTGCCCAACTCTCTAAGAATCTTTGAGTTCGACTTCACTGGTCCATGGCAAATCACTTCAGTGGAACCTGTAATCTAATGTAAACATGGAAAATATTTGTCTTCTTTATTGAAGAATAATCTTAAATTCAACAATTGATTGGTCCTCATACTTCTCTAAAGCTTAAGAGAGCCCAGCACAGAAGGAGCCATAAAGATGACTGATAAAGCCTTAGTTCAGTCTCTGCAGAATACGTGAGTCAATAAAACATTCCAACCCTTGAGGCTTTTCATTCTTTGTCATTAAAAATCTTACTATATCAAATATTTTCACCAATCATTGGCATGGTTCCTTCTGCCAGTTTCTGAAGTTTCTGTTAGCAATTAACTTTTATCAGTGCTTCCAAACCCTGTTTATTTGAAAATCCTACAGCAATTTCCAAGTCCCTAGGGATCCAGTTTCGCTTGCAGAACCAGGAACTTTGAATTAACCCAACATTGGCTACCATCAATCTTCTCTACATGTCCAGGAGTGACTCTAACTCCTTAAAAAACAGAGGCTCCATGGAGATTGAGTTAAACACTCTTAGGCAGCAAATACAGGAAGGAGATTTTTAAGACTTCTTCTATCTGGTGAAAATATATATAGCTTCATAGTGTCTGTTCCTTCTCTGGAACATACAGTCCCCAACAGCACATTCTCCCTTGTACAGTATTTTGACCTCAGTGTAAACTCCATTATATCATTTGTTTTTCTTTCTTTTTAATGTGTGAATGTATGCACATGTGTGTATGTGCAATCATGTACTTTTAGTTTTGTTTTGTTTTAGTACTTTCACAGTGCAAGAAGTTTGTCGACCCCATGTACTCCTTTTTCTTTATTTTGTCAAAAATCTGAAAGTCTGATAAAAATATTTTTGGCTCAAGTCTAGTGTAATAATTTGAATTAGAAGTAAAACTGAAAACTTTATTTTAAGTTCACTATCCCAGTAGTAAGGCCTCATTATCTACCCAAGTATGACTGGAGGTACATGGAGTACTGTTGGCTTGCTTTTGAAGGAATACACCCTGCAAATAAAAATTAGCAATAAAAACATCAAATCTTTAGTTAGGATCTCAAGAAAATAATACAGGATAAATGCAGTTCTAGTACAAGTACAAGCAGTACTAATGCACAGAACAATATATCTGTTCATTAATGTCTCCCCAAAAGGTGTTCCCCTAAAATTCTGAAATTCTTTTATTTACTTACCATCAAATCCCAATGCAAAAAGTTCTCACCGGTAGCTTGTATCTGCCATCTTTCTTTCTCCTTTTTTTCTCTTCTTGTTCAGCCTGTTCTAATGTACATCAACTAGGCCTCAATGACTTTAAATTTTTTTCTCACCTTTCTTTAACTAGAATATTACAAATAAGGAGAATTTGGGGGTGATATAACCACCAAGATTCCTTCTTCCTACAGTCAGGGAAAGAAAGAATATTGGTGTCATAAATTTATTCAATGAAGTTGTTGCCTCGGCAACCATTTTTGGGGCCAACATAAGTTGTTGAAAACACATTTGTACCCTGTCACCTCTGGCTTAAAGCCTCCCTCCCCACACAGTTGTTTGAGATACACTCTCTTGTTTCTGCATCTTACTGACCCACAACACAACACTCCACAGTTGTTGACTATAATGAAACCTAATGGTCAACACCAATACCATGTAAATAAATTTTCCTTTCTCTCTTAGCAAGGTTTTTTCTTTTTCTTTTATTTATTTTATTTTATTATTTTTATTTATTTATTTATTTATTTATTTATTTATTTATTTATTTTTAAGACAGAGTCTTGCTCTGTCGTCAGGCTGGAGTGCAATGGCGCGATTTCGGCTCGCTGCAAGCCCCGCCTCCCAGGTTCACACCGTTCTCCTGCCTCAGCCTCCTGAGTAGCTGGGACTATAGGCGCCCGCCACCACGCCTGGCTAATTTTGTTTTTGTGTTTTTAGTAGAGACAGAGTTTCACCATGTTAGCCAGGATGGTCTCGATCTCCTGACCTCATGATCCGCCCACCTTGGCCTCCCAAAGTGCTGGGATTACAGGCGAGAGCCACCGCGCCTGGCCCCTATTTATTTATTTTTTGAGACCGAGTTTCGCTCTTGTCGCCTAGGCTGGAGTGCAATGGCGAGATCTCATCTCACCGCAATCTCCGCCTCCCGGGTTTAAGCGATCCTCCTGCCTCAGCCTCCCAAGTAGCTGGGATTACAGTCATGCGCCACCAAGCCCAGCTAATTTTTATATTTTTAGTTGAGACGGGGTTTCTCCATGCTGGCCAGGCTGGTCTCCAACTCTCGACCTCAGGTGATCCGCCTGCCTCAGCCTCCCAAAGCGCTGGGATTACAGGTGTGAGCCACCGTGCTGGGCCCCTTAGCAAGTTTTTTTTTTTAAACTAACTGATAAAGTTTGAAACTGCGTCCCCACTAAATCTCATGTCGAATTGTAATCCCTAATGTTGGAGGTGAGGCCTGGTAGGAGGTGATTAGATCATGGGGGTGGATCCTCAGTGAATGGTCTAACGCCATCCCCTTGGTGCTATTCTTTTGATAGTGAGTGGGTTTCCACGAGATCTGGTTGTTTAAAAGTGTGTAGCACCTCTGGCCTCTCTCTCTTTTTCCTGCTCCAGTCATATGAGGTGCTGGCTCCCCCTTCACCTTCTGCCATGATGGTAAGTTTCCTGAGGTGTCCCCAGACGCTGAGCAGATGCTACTATGCTTCCTATAAAGCATGAAGAACAATAGGCTAATTAAACCTCTCTTCTTTATAAATTACCCAGTCTCAGTTATTTCTTTTTAGCAATGTGAGAACAGACTAATACAGTAACCAAAAACAATTCCTGCTAGAGAACCTAAGGGATATTGCCCATGCACCTTAATAAAGGCAGAATTGCACAGGTCCCCCCTCTCCCTCCCACTCCACCTGCTGGCTGAGTTCCCTGCCACCTCTAGATTTTACATAGGCCTCCCATTGGCACTCCTGACCTCTCTTGGACCTATGAGTAACACATTTCTTCTGGTTCATGTACTTTGGTTTCACTCGCTTGCCGTGTCTCACTTGACACACACACAGCTGAACATGCCCTTCTGTCTGGGCAGTGCTTTCTCTTAGAAAGTAGTTGTCTTGGTAGGAATAAACTGGACACAAGTCACACAAGAGCCACTAGGGTATCAGCCAGTATAAATAAGATCCTATGAGAGGGACACCTGGTCACGGATCTGTACACTTAAGCATTAGGCCATCTGCCATGATAAAGAAGTATCCAATGAAAAGTACACTGTAAATACCATGGTTGAATCCCTTGAATTTCTGGTCAGGGCAGGACAAGAGCTTATGGTCTCAAGATAGAGACCTCAAGGCCAAATTAGAAAGATATCATAACAATAGAAATCCCAACAATGATGGATAATCAGACATTAACAATTTTTATTACATAACAGTTTTAGAATCTGATACATTAGAAATCCATTTAGATTTTTCATGATTAATTTAAACAATATTTATTGAGATCCTGCAAGGTGTTGTTTTAGGTGTTGGTGAAATATCGTGATGAAGAAAACAGAACAAGTCCCTGCTCTTACGGTGCTTACATTCTAGTTGTGGGCAATGAACATAAAAAAGTAAATGTATTCTGTTTTGATTATTGATTAAGGAAAATAAAGCAAAGGATGAGAATCAGATAGTGAGGGAAGTGCTATTTTAAATAGGTTAATTGGCTGGGCGTGGTGGCTTATGCCTGTAATCCCAACACTTTGGGAGGCCAAGGTGGGCAGATCACCTGAGGTCAGGAATTTGACACCAGCCTGGTCAACATGGTGAAACCCCATCTCTACTAAAAATACAAAAATTGATGACACAGGCCTGTAATCCCAGCTACTCAGGAGGCTGAAGAGGGAGAATCGCTTGAACCTGGGAGGAAGAAGTTGCAGTGAGCCTAGATCATGCCACTGAACTCCAGCCTGGGCAACAGAGCAAGACTTCATCTCAAAAATAAATAAGTAAATAAATAAATAGGTTGATTGGAGAAATCAGGTAAACAAAAAAAATTAGAAACTTGGAATCTGAGGCTACTATAAAGGTCATGGCGTGGAAGAAGAAACTATGAATTGTATTTCAAAAAAGCAGTTGCTAGGCACTGTTTTATTGTAAATATTACTTCATTTATTCACCAAGCCCATATCAAGCATGCATCATGAGCCAGGGATATCCTAACTGATTGTTGGAACTAAAGCCAATCAGACGTAGTCCTGCACTCATGGAGCTTACAGGGTAAAAAAGGCAACACATAAGTAGTCTCCCCTGATTAAAATGGTGATGAGAGCGCTGAGGGAAAGATAAGAGTACCATGGGAATGTATGAGAAATCTGTTCCAGGGGGAAGAAGTAATCTTGAGGACCATTCTGCTGAAAAGTGAGGGCAAAAGCAATCTAGAAATATGTATATGAAAACCCTGAGATGGTAGAGGTTTGTTGCGTCAAAGGAATGAGAGGACAAGGTAGCAGAAGCGACGCATATAAGAAAATATGTCCAATCCGATAAGGGCATTGAACAAAAAGGCACTGCAACAATGCACTTAATGGTGAGACGTTAGAAATGTTTGCCTTAAAGTCAGGATTGAGACAATAATGCTGACTGTACTATGCCCTCTATTCTTTAATATTGTTTTAGAAGTCCTGGCTAATGCACTGTAATAAGAAAATGACAGTCTTAAGATTACAAAGAAAAATTCTTTTTAAATTGTTTTTGGCATTCATTCATGTCTTTGGGGTTTTTTTTAATTTTTATATTTTACTTGCTACTATGGTATTTTTAGAAAGGGTTTGGTTTCTTGTTTGGTTTTCCATTGTTTTTCTATTTTTGCTTTTGGGGAGCTTTTGAGCTTTTCATTTGTTTGTTTTTTACACGAGGGTCTGAAAGCATAAATTTAAAATGCTATTCTGATCAAAAATTTACTTTTTAAATCCTTAGTTTCCTTTCTCCTGCTTGCCTTGAACTTGCTTCTCTTTTTCCAACCTTTTGAGTTACATATGTGTTATTTTTATGTGGTTCGTGTTTGTTTTTTACACGAGGGTCTGAAAGCATAAATTTAAAATGCTATTCTGATCAAAAATTTACTGTTAAATCCTTAGTGTCCTTTCTCCTGCTTGCCTTGAACTTGTTCCTCTTTTTCCCACCTTTTGAATTAGATATGTGTTATTTTCATGTGGTTTGTTTATTCACTTTCATGACTTTTTCTTAAATAATGAATGGATTTAAGATAATGAATTTACTTTCCATACACAGTTGACTCTTCAGAGATACTCATTTTTCCAATCTTCAGAGTCCACATCAGGGAAATGGAGGAAATATTCTATTTAGAAAGTTTAGCACAAATGAGGCATATTATAACAATTCAGTGCATCAAACTTTATGGCTTATTAAAATGGACACCTTGAATAATAACATGTAGGAATTTCAATGTTGGTTTCCCTAAATGGTCAATACTGGTATTTTATTTCCTATCTTCCATAATAACTAAAGAGTGGGAATAATATATTTAACTTACAGTTAATTAGTTTTAAAATTATTCTGTTAATTAATAAGTGTGTCTTATTGTAACCAGAGATTATACACCTAAATACCTGCTATGAGAAATTTATTGAGGTTGTAGCATCATTCAATCAATGTTTTAAATGTTTGGTGGTTACTTGGAAAGGAGATATAATTCTGTATTTTTAGGTTATAAATCTTAAAACATTTGTAATAACTCAACAATTTAAATTATGTTTTCAAATCTTCCATATTCCTTTCTTTCTAAACTGCTGTCATTGTCACCCAGTGCTGTTGGGCTTTCCTTGTTTCTTTATGCAACAGAAAACTGATAATACATTATTTATTACACAATGCATGATAAGTATTAAGTATCGATGAGAGAGTACATTTTACAAATGTGAAATATACTTTTTTCCATTTATTAATTTTATCTTGAGTCACCTTAGTTTTTCCTGTGTCAAACAATAATGTTGTCATTTCTGCTTTCCTTAGGGTTAGTTATAACTGATAGTTCTTTGCTCATAGTTTATTTTTAGTTTATTTTGTGTTTCAATTAAAGTTGTTTATAAACTGAATGAGGGGAGCATTGATTTCCACATTTACTCCATTGTATTTTAGTCAAAATACTTAAGATGCAATTAAAAAATTACGAAACACATGAAAAAACAGGAAAGTGTGGATACTACATAGGAAAAAAACAAAGCTGTCAATAGAAACTTTCTAAGGAAAACTAGAGATAAAACTTACTAGACAAAGCTTTTAAATCAGCTATTGTAGGTTCACAAAACGAAAGAAAGAAAGAGAAAGAATGAAAGAAAGAAGAGTTAAAGGTAATCATAAGAAAAACCTCTTACCAAGTAAAGAATATCAGTAAAGAAATAGAAATTTTAAAACAATAAAATTTCTGAAATAAAAAATTCACCTCAGGGTTCAACAGCAGATTTGAACTGGCAGAATATTAAATAATTTATTTTTAATGAAGGTAAGTCAACTGGGATTATTCAGACTGAGGAGCAGAAAAACAAAATAATGAAGAAAAATAAATAGAACCTCAGAGACGCATGTGATACCATCAAGTGTACCAATACAATTGACCCTTGAACAACATGGGAGTTAGGGGCACTGATCCTTCTAACACAGTAAGAAGTCTGTGCATAACTTTTAACTCCCACAAAACTTGACTAGTAATAGCTTACTGTTGACTGGAAGCCTTACCAATAACATAAACAGCCAATTAACACATATTTTGTTTGTTATATATATTATATACTGTATTCTTACAATAAAGTAAGCTAAAGAAAAGAAAATATTGAGAATTATAAGGAAGAGAAATATATTTATTGTTCATTATATGGAAGTAGACTATCATAAAGGTCTTCATCTTCATCATCTTTACATTGGATAGGCTGAGGAAAAGAAGGGAAAATAGAAAATAACTTTTAAAAATAGTAATAAAAACAATAAGGGAATTACAGTGGTAAGTTAGAAAATATCTGTTTAACACAAGGAAGTTAGTAATGTATAAAAATATAATTTGTATGACAATAATGCCAGAAAGAATGGAAAGGAAATGATTTTATATTGTTGAAAAGTTGGTCTTGCTGTCTCAGGGGAGGTAAAGGCAGAAGAAAATCCATATATAACTAGACCTGTGCAGTTCAAACCCCTGGTGTTCAAGGGCCAATGGCATGTGCAAAATGGGATTCCCAGAAGGAGTGGAGAGAAAGGAGCAGAGAATATTTGATGAAATAAAAACCAAAAACTACAAAATTTGAAAAACATTGCTCTGCACATTTCAAAAAGTTAAATAAAATCTAAGCAAGATAAACTCAAAGAAATCTATACCTAGACTCATTATAGCTAAACTCTTAAAGACCAAAGAAAAACAGAGAAATATTGGAGTAGAAAGAAAAAAGACAAAGTGACTCGTAGGATATAAAGGAATCTCAATAAGAGTCTCAGAAACCGTGGAGGCCGGAAGGCAATGGGGTGTTATATTCAAAGTCCTAAAAGGAAAACACCATCAGCAGCAAATGCTACATCCAGAATAAATAGCCTTCAAAACCGAGGGAAGAATTAAGACATTCCCAGACAAACAAAAATGGAGACGATCTGCCCCTCTCAGACTGCCCTATAAGAAATACTAAAGGGAGTCCAACAGGTTGAAATGAAGTGACATTGAAGAGTACCTCAAATCTACACAAAGAAATAAAGAGGACCAGTAAAGGTAGCTGCATAGATAAATATAAAAAGCAACATAAATATATTTTTGTTTATAAAATGTATTTATGTATTTTGTAAAAATGTATTTATGTATTTTGTAAAAATGCATAAATGTATTTTTCTTTTTTCTTTAAGACACAACTGAATAAAATAATGATGAAAATGTATTGATAGGCTTATAACATATAAAAATATGATTTGTATGATGATAGCGTCACAAAGAAATGAAAAATAAATGGTTTTATATTGTTATAAAGTTTTTGAATTATATTAAAATTAAGTTAATATTTATTTGAACCACATTATTTAAATTAAAATTTTAGTTTTAATCCCCAAAGCAACCAGTAGAAAATAACTTTTAAAAAAGTAAAAGAAACAATAAGAAAATTACAATGGTAGGCTAGAAAATATCTATTTAACATAAAGGAAGGCAGCAAAGGAGGAATAGAAAAACAAAAGATGTAAGAAACTAGTGAAAAAATGGCAACTTTAAATCAGTAATTGCATAAAATACATATAGATCAAACACTACAATTAAAAGTTAGAAATAATACGGCATCCACAGAACATACTTTAGATTCAAACACACAAATAAGTTGGCTGAAAGTAAAATCAAGAAAAAAGATATGTTATATAAAATGTACCAAAAAGAGAACTGAAGTGATTCTACTAATATCAGAAAAAATAGAATTTAAGACAAAGTTGCTTCTTGTGAAAAATAGATGTCTAACATAATACAAGCGTGAATCCATCAGAAAGACATAATTATATATATATTCATCTAACAATAGAGCTGCAAAATATATAAAGCAAAAACTTAATAGATGAAGAATTGAAATGTAAAATATCTGAGTCAATGACAATAGTTTGAGTTATTGAAATACTTGGAGATTTTAATACCCAGCTTTCAATCATGAATAGAACAAACAGGCACAAGATGAACAAGAAAATAAAAGACCCGAACAAAACTGTAAACCAACTAGGTCTAACAGGTATGTATAGAACACTCCACCCAACACCACAATACACATTCTGCTCAAGTGCACATGGAGTATTTTCTAAGATGTCCCACATGTTTGGCCATAAAACAAGGCTTAATAAATGTAAAAACTTTGACATCACACAAAGTGTGTTCTCTAATCACAATGAAATAAAATTACAAATAAATAGAAGAAAATAAACCGGAGGAAAATTTGGGGATTTCAAATATTTGTGGAAATTAACACATTCCAAAAAAATCAAGGAACTAAGAAGAAATCACAAGACATTAGAAAATATTTGAAACAAATGAAAGTGAAAACATGACGTATCAAACTTATGAGATACAACTCTATAAGTTTGTATTGCTGCCATAGCAAATTGCCAGAAAAATTTGACAAGAAAAAAATAAAAACCATTCAGATTGAAAAAAAAAATAAGTGAAACTATCTTAATTTGCAGATGGCATGATACTGTATGTAGAAATCCTAAGGAATTTACTAAAAAAAAAAAACTATTGAACTAATAAATGAATTCAGCAAATATTCAGGATATGAGATCAATATATAAAAATTAATTAGATTTCTACAGATAACAATGAACAATCCAAAAATAAAATTTTAAAAATAATTGTGTTTCCAAGAGCACAACAAATAGTGAAATACTTAAGAAATAAAGCTTACTGAAGAAGTGTAAGGCTTATATAATGACAGCCAGTAAACAGCATTAAAAAAATTAAAAAGAAAGAAAGAAATGGAAACACATCCCATGCTCGTAGACTGGCAGACTTATTATTTCTAAAATGACAGACTCCCCAAACTTATCTACAGGCTAATTGCAATCTCTACCAAAATCCCAGCTGGGCTTTTTTTATTTTTATTTTTTAAATAAACTGACAAACTGATGCTAAAATGTACATGGAAAGACAAGAAACCCCAAAATAGCTAAGCTATCCTTTTTTAAAAAAAAAAAGTTGGAAGAGTCACACTTCTTGATTTCAAAACTTACTACATAGCTACAGTAATCAATAAAATGTGGTACTGACATATGGTTAGATATACAAATCAATGGAAAAAAATGGAAAGGTCAGAAATTATTTATTTTTTACAAGAATGACAGAAGAATCCAGAAGAATCCAAGTGAGAAAGAATAGTCTTCTGAACAGATGATGCTGAAATACCTGGATATCCACATGTAAAAATACAGAAGTTGAGGCTGGGCGTGGTGGCTCACAGCTGTACTCCCAGCACTTTGGGAGGCTGAGCCTGGTGGATTGCTTGAGTCCAGGAGTTTGAGACCAGCCTAGGCAACATGGGGAAACCCTGTCTCTACAGAAAAATACAAAAATTAGCCAGGCATGGTGGCACACACCTGCAGTCCCAGCTACTCGGGAGGCTGAGGTAGAAAATCACCTAAGTGCAGGAAGTGGAGGCTGCCGTGAGCTATGGTTGTGCCACTGCACACCAGCCTCGGTGGCAAAATGAGACCCTGTCTCAAAAAAAAAAAAAAAAATAGAAGTTGGACTCATGTTCCGCACTGTATATATAAATTAACTCAAATTGGATCATAAACCAAAATTAAAGACATAAAAATATGCAGTTCTTTGAAGAAAATATAGGAATACATTATTGAATAGGCATTACTAGACTTAAATAGGCCATCTAAAGCACACGCTACAAAAGAAAGAGTTAGGTAAGTTAAATTTTATCCAGATTAAAAACATTTACACATCAAAGGACACTATTAAGGAAGCAAGAATGGGAGGAAATATTTAAAAATCATGTATCTTATAAGAAACTTATATCCAGGATACATATATACACACGTATATACGTGTGTATATATGTATATACATATATATACGTGTGTATATATGTATATACATATATATACGTGTGTATATATGTATATACATATATATACGTGTGTATATATGTATATACATATATATACGTGTGTATATATGTATATACATATATATACGTGTGTATATATGTATATACATATATATACGTGTGTATATATGTATATACATATATATACGTGTGTATATATGTATATACATATATATACGTGTGTATATATGTATATACATATATATACGTGTGTGTATATATGTATATACATATATATACGTGTGTGTATATATGTATATACATATATATACGTGTGTATATATGTATACACACACACACACATATATATCATGTATCTTACAAGAAACTTATATCCAGAATATATATATATATGTAAACTCTTACAACACAGTAAAAAAGCCTAATTTTTAAAAGAGCAAAGAATTTGGACAGACATGATCCAAGTATATATGTACAAATATGCACATATAGTCAATAAACACATGAAAAGATACACAACAGTTACATTCATTAGAAAAAAACACATCAAGACCACATGAGATAATCTCTTCAAACTCACTAAGAAGACTAAAGTAAAAAAAAAATGACAGATAAAAATATTAAATAAGTGTTGGCAAGGATATGGAGAAATTGGAACGCTTATGCATTGCTAGTGGGACTGTAAAACCATATAGCTCCTTGGAAAACTGGTCGTTCCTCAAAATGTTAAATATTATGATGCTACATGAGCCAGCAGCTCCACTCCAGGTTATTTATAAAAGAGCATTGAATACACACACAAAACTTGTACATGAATGTCCATAGCAGCATTATTCATAATAGCCAAAAAAGGAGAAACAGCTAAATTTCCATCCACTGAAGAATAGGAAAACAAAATGTGGTATACTCTTCAATGAAATGATGTTACTCAGCCATAAAAAAGAATGAAGGAAGTAAAACAGGGATGAAGCTTGAAAATATTATGCCAAGTGAAAAAGCCAGACACAAAAGTATCACATATTGTATGATGTCATGTGAACAATATGCCCAGAACAGGCAGGCAAGTACATAGAGGAAGAAAGTAGATTAGTGTTTGCCAGGCTGGGGGAAGGAGGAAGTGGGCAGTGACTGCTAACAGGCACAGGATTCCGTGTTGGGGTGATGAAAATGTTTAATGTTAGACAGTGGCGATTGTAAAACTGAATGTACGGTGAAGCATGGAATTGTATGCTTTAACAGTGTGAATTTTATGGATACGTGAATTATATCTCAATCGAGCTATTTTTAAAAACTCAGTTGGAGATCACTTTTTTTTAAAGAACATTATGCTCAATTATGACTGTTTATGTCATCGTTGTGTGTATTGGATGTCTTCTTTCTTGCTCTTCTAGAAATCCCCTCTCCATTTCTACCACTCTGTGCTCTACTAGGCTGAATTACAGGGACTGCATCAGTGACTCCTTGCCTTCTGTTTAGTTGGTCAATGGTAGGCTCTGGCAGGAGATGGCAGAAAAGGAAGAGAATGAGGCCAAGGGGTTATTATCCTCATTCCTTCCTGCTGGGTCTCTGTGATTGCCCTGTCTCTTTCCCAAATGCCACAGCCAGGCCGAAGACTGTCTCTCCAGGCACACTTTCCCAGTCCTGATAACTGTTTCCTCCTTTTGCCCTTCAGGTTTATAGCTCAGAAAGTTTTCTAATCCTAGCTTCAGGATACTGAATGTACCTTAGTGATGTCCATAAAACTGCACATACATTTTAAGTAGCACTTTTGTTGAATTACCCAATCTCACCTGTCTCTTGCCAGTCCCTTATGGATATACTGTTTGATTTTAATTTTGTCATCTTGTTATATGCATTCATTTTCATTTCTTCACTTTTTACATTTTCTTCTATTTTGCTTTGGGATCTCTTTCAGTTCTGTTTTTAGCAGAGACATGCTCTTTTTAGTTCTACTTGAGATCAGCACTTAAAGATTTCCCACCGTTCTTAGAATTACATCAAAGTACCAAAACCTGTAACAAAATAATTATATATCCCCTTTTCGTTCAAATAAGCGGTTTGGCCTTCTTATCTCTTTCTCTGTTTTAGATAATTTAATCTAAGATTCTTCATTTAAAATAAGCGGTTAATATTTAAAACACTACAATATTAAAAATATTTCATTTGCCCATTTTATACTGAGTGTCATGGTTATTTATTATTGTTCTTTCTCTAAACTGTTTGTCACATCGTGTTGCAACTCTCTGTTACATTGTGATGATGTAACAGCAATATCTGAATGCATCCCATAGCTAGGTCATTTACATCAGGGCTTGTTCAGGCGCCTTCAGGTCAAAGAGAATGGGGACACACGTGATTTATCTTAGATCAAAAAACAAGTTTGGATTTTGATTTTCTTATTGAGCATAGTTAGCAGTGCAAAAAGAAGGAAATGAGAGGAAAGCGCTATGCAAGGAACCCTTTCAGAGATTAGACTTATTGTGGGGTTACCAGATTTGGTAGATAATTGGGGTTAGCCCAGCAACTTAGATAGAACCTTTAGACCGGGCTTGGTGGCTCAAGCCTGTAATCCCACCATTGTGAGAGGCCGAGGAGGGAGGATCGTTTGAGCCCAGGAGTTCAAGACCAGCCTGGGCAACATAGTGAGACCCTGTCTCTACAAAAATATAACAATAGTAATAACAATAATAAACAACGTTTAGTTACTGTGTCATATGATGTTTTTAAGGGCAAGGAGCCATTTTATCCTACATCATGATTCAATGACTTCACTATTATATATTTTTATATAATCATTTCCTTATAACTTCATTTCATGCACATCATTGGCTGTGAGCATTTTGGTTATTTACTCTGTTTATAAACATGACATTTAATTGGGAACAAATACAGGACTCAGTCAAAGCCTGGTGTCTCTGGAGAAGTGTAAATATCTATATTTTGAGGCCCAACATTATTCTCTACAGCAAAATTTTCATGAAGCTATCTTTTCAACTTAAAATTTTAAGTGGTGTGGTCTTTTATGTTCCTGTTAGAGCTATTTTTATCATTTATGGTATTTTCTTGAGATATTCCTTCTGAATTGCTGTTTGAATTCTGCATTATTATTTCTTTTCTATGCAGTTGTCTTATCTGCTCAAATTCATTTAAGCTTTCCTGAGACCACAGATCTTTTCATTTATATTTCATATACATCCCATACCTAACAGTTTAATGCTGGAGACACAGAGATGTTCAATAAATATTTCTTAATTTGATTTATTACAGTTCTTATTAATTCTGTCTGCTGAGTCTGGTAGTGTATTCCCTTCCGTTTGGTATAAAGCAGACAGCACTTGATATACTTTGAAATGCAGTCCAGAGTTAATAATCTCTGAGAAACCTGATATGCTTTTATACTGCCCAGATCTCTTGTTAGAAAACTCCAGAGAATTTAAGCATTGACTTTTCTTAATCTGTTACCTCATTTGGTGTACATTCATATCTACAGCAGCATCATAAGGTGAACAAGGGCTCCACAAATCTTTGGATTTGTTTTAAATTGGCATTTAATATATATATTTTTTCTTTCTAAAAGCATTTGGGGAGAGTTCAGCTGCCAGGTCCCTTGAGCAAAATGGTTTTCTTGACACTGCTTCTGTGTTGTCTCACAACCATATATCTGGCCCTGCAACTTGAAAACAGGAAAAGGCGGGGGAGGGAGAGAAACCTTCTGTTCACTCCCAGTGGCAATCCATTGGGACTCTAAGTGCTTGAATATTTTTAATTCACTAGGAGGCTTCAAGCTATCATGGAGGGAAAAATATGCAGAAATTCTAAAATATTAAGCCAATTCCATATAAATCATAATAACGCTCTAAATGGCAGAAGCTTAACTCACATTCCCTTTTAGTAAAGGCTTAATTGTATAAATAGCTCTGTCAAATCATTTCAACTGATCTTGCCCCCAATCTAAGGCTGTATCTACACAATTCATGTAAAAATCACTGAAGGATATTATCATCATGATATATGTAAATATCCAGATGTTTGGCAGCAAGTAAAACAAACATCCAGGTGATTGGCTGAATTTTCTTTTTAATATTTTTTCCAAGTCCTTACAAAGATACTAGGAATGCAAGCAAGCTAGTTACTAGATAGTTTCATATTGAGTAATCTTATATTAACTAAAGCATTATATTTGTTACAAAAAGAAGTTAAGATTTTTCCTCAAATATTTTTGCTAAAGATACCAAGGCCTAGAGACAGAGGTCTCTTTCTGCCCCAGCATGGAGGTTGTACTAGAAAGACAGTCTGATATAAAGAAGGGTGAAGAGGTGTTTCTTCTATAATTGCTGCACATGTACTTGTGCTGAGGTGACATCCCATAGATGCTACGTTGATAAATGCTATAGGAATGCACCTGGACACCCAGAGATAAGACGACTGAATGGATATGAATTCCAAATGGTAGCAATCCCTGAGGTCATTTTGCTAGAAGCCCTTTTAAATGATTGAATGATTAATGGATATGGCAATCCTAGGAACGACAAAAAGTTAATTTAAAAGGCATTTTTTGTTTAGAAAGACTTCTTCACTTTTATGAGCATCACATTTTCTATTACTTTTTATGTGTAGTATAGCCCACTGACTTTAACAATAATTGGAAGTATTAATTGATGGCATTGATAGGACAGTCATAAAATCTAGTGACAACAGTCACTCCTGACTCTGGATGTTATTCATACCACGAGATTTCTCTGGCTTGTCACTATTCTTTCTCCACCTCAAACTGTTATTTTCCACTGACCTTTACCCAGTCTGACCCATTGTTTCACAGTTGTCACTAAAAAGGTCCTCATTTAGTTTGATTATTTAGAGAATTGTGTCCGGTAGCTGTGAAATAACAAAAGAATGGATACCACTGATCACAGTAAATTTTTTTTCTCTCTGGTTTTCAGCCACATGATAAAAACAGGATGCTTCACTCTCAGGGACCAGTGACTGGCATAACTTATCAAAGCTGCCTTTTCCCTTTCCTCTGACTTTCCCCTTTGTTTCCTTGAGGGATGTAGAAATGACATCAAACTGTTCAAAATAGTGCTGCCCTGTTATAGATGACCAAAGAGTTATTTGCTTTATTTTGAAGAAAAAATAATAGCTCTAACCTTTTGTTTTGTACAGAAAACAGACAAACAGGATATATATTTTTTTATTATCTCCAGGTTTTATCTCACCTTTCCTGCTCTTTTGAAACAAAAGAAGTCAATTTTAAAAAGCAAATCACAAATAAAGCTTAAAAAGAGAATTGCGTTACAATTTTCTCTAGAAATGTTCCAATGACATCTTACACACGGTAACAACAGATCTCATCATCCTAATAAATGATTGTGGATGCAAATCATAACTATTTTAAGGACATAGGAAAAGAAAATGGAAAAACCTCATGCTTGTAAATCAAGTGACTGTCTTTCAAAGATAAACATATTTAACTGTAAGTTTAATTTGCACCATGTCAAGTCTTTACTTTGCCCCTTTTTAGATTCTCTTTCAGCTTCTCTGAGGCAGTTAGGTCTAGATCTAGTTATATCTAGATAATTTATTTGTATTTTAGCAGAAAATTTGTATTTTAGCAGCTGTGTACTAACTGCCCGATTTGAAGCCTTCCTAAGCCACATCACCAAAATGGGACGCTGTGCTGTACCAGAAGAGGCATTTAGTCATTTACCTGGACAAACTGTTAATGCTACTTTAGAAGTCTCATCCTAAGCAATTCTCAAACATTTCCCTACTTCCTCTGATTCCATGCATATGGGTTTAACTGTGGTATCTTTCTCTAGAGCAGTGTTGTCCAAAAGAAATTTTTATAATGATGCAATTTAAAAATATTTGCACTGTTCTATATGGTAGTCTCTAACCTGTTATGACTATTGGGCACTTGAACCATGGCTAATGCACTTAAGAACTGGAATATTTAATTCTACATAAGTTAATTAATTTAAATCTGAATTTGTATAGCTTCAATTGGGTAGTGACTATCATAGTGGATAATAGAGGTTCAGAATACCTTAAGATGTACTTCCTGGTCTTGGATTTCTTGATGTGTATTAAAATAACCAACAATATTTCTGATCCTTTATTTTGTTAAATGCAAAACATGAAAATCTCTCTTCATACTGTGATGATAAGAGTATTTAATAGTTTTTGATAGTGACATGAAAAGTCTAATTTAGGGCATTTTGACGCAAAGTTTCAAAGGCCTTCTGCAGAGATATTATACTCCAACTATTTTAGTTTTTCAAAAGTATAAACCATGTGCAGTGTTATAATAAGATATTGGCAAATATTACAGTGTTTCAAAGAGTTATATTTATGAGTTCTCAAACACCAGTCAATAAACACACTTATTTCTGTGTCAACAAGTTTCTGTAGGGAGTAAAATCCCTCAGTGTTATTTACATAAGAAGATGCTTGATAGAAAGTTTCAGGTGAAGCATATTTTAAAGGCAGTGCTAGCTCAAGACTGAAAAAAATTGTTTTTGAATACTGACATGAATGACTTGGATGTTCTGAGACTCCTCATGCACATGGAGGGGATAAAAGAATTTGGAGCTGATGAATTGAGTATTTTGGGGGACATTTTCTTAGGAGAGAGAAGTATTTTAAATTTCTTCCAACCCAAAGTGAACAAAAGAGAATATCTGCCCTTTATCTCTTATTTAGGAGAAAGGGGCTTTAAGGAAATCACCAATGTGTCCCCTGTATCCTCTGATCCTCTGCAGTGCCTCCCAGCCAAAGGAATGTATGGAGGACTGGTAACTGAGTCCTACTAGAGATATATAAAGGGTTGGTATAGAGAAGGCAGAGGCTTGTGAAGTAACTATACTCTCAGAGACTGCTGAAGCAAAGGTCATATGTTTTTCCCCATAAGAATCCAAGGGTCAAAGAGGACCACCAGGCAGAGGGATGCTAAGAGTGCTAGGAGTGTCACTGGATTCCTAGGACATTTACATCTTCAAGGGTACTAGATTTGAAAACCCCTCAGATGGGTGGAAGCGAGGTAAGGAGTGAACACACAGAAGTCTCCAAAGATTTCACAAATCTCAGGGACCAAATATGTTTAAACACCTGCCAACCCCAATGGTGAGCAGTGACACCAGCGCAGGGGAGGTTTTGTTAAGGTAATGCCTTTCCTGCCATCTTCTTCCCTGCGTCCCAACCCAAAGGGGTCAAAATTGCAGACACCAGCTGGAGGAGAGAAACCTCTGGGGCTGGGGCAAGAAGGAAGTCACCCACAAGTTTTTCTCTGGTGGCAGTCTTCCCATCTGTGGAGGCCTGAGCTGGGGGCAGCAGAAATACCATCATCTGGTGATTGAGTTTGCAGTTCTCACTGTTATAATGGATGGGATATTTTATTCCTGCAGTGTTATTTTGTGGCTGAAAGCATCCAGTAGGGTTTTAGAACCTCTGCAAATGTTCATGTAGGAAAAATCTAAAATCTAGGCTCTTGAATAAAATTAAAAGGTAACAAGTAGCAAAACCAAAATAGCTTTAGGATTATACTCCAAACACCATGTCAGTTCAATGTTGTTTTGACTGTATTATGGCTGAGAAGCACAAAGAAGAAAGGCAATTGAGACTATGTAAATAAAACAACATTGCCTTTCCTTACTTCTATGAGTAGTAGATTGTCAGTTTGACTAGCCTAAAATATTTTCATCATGCCTGTTAAAAATTGACATCTAAAAGTTACAACAAATCCTAAGGTGAAGTATTTACCATGACAACACTTAAATAGTTTTTTGACCCAATGCTTTTTTGGGAAAATTATAGGAAGTTAAATGTGTCTTTCTCTTTGTCCATACAAACAAAACATTTAAAAAATGGATTTCAGAATTTAAATGTGGGGACTGATTTTTCTGTCTTAAATCTAACACAGTCTGAGAATACTTTGAAAACTCAATAATATCTGTTGGATGAATAAATTAATAACATTAAAGATTCAAATGAGTTATTACTGCATGTATATTTTCCCTATTCTTATTCATTAATCTGATAGCATATATTAACGTTTATAGTATCCTATGTGAAAAACTGTGTTTTAAAGCTAAGTTTTAATGTGTTATGCTAAACATATCCTGGTATCTTCTCAATGGAAAATGAGAAAAATACCCATGTATATCGGATTGTTTGCCTCAGACAGGAAGTATACTCTGACAAATGCAAATTGGGTCCTGAACCTTGGGTAAAGGATGCAGATCTCTTTAAATGTAAATCATTTGCTCAGGTTTAATGGGCTTTATTTAATAGCTGGTTGAAGAATCACCAAGCTTGAATGGGCCTTAAAACTTATTTAGTCCAACTTATACATTGTAAAGATTATTGAACTTAATACATTTTTATTAAATTGAACTAAATTGAATAAGAGAACAGACCGAGGGCTTAAATGGCTTTTCTAAGCTCACAGTACTCACAGACAGACCAGGGGCTAAAACCCAGGCCTTGTAGCTTTGTATCCTGAAGACTTTGTTTCCTTAGCAACAATTGTCTTTCAAATTTGACCTTGTCTCTAATACATAGGTCTGTCAACTTTTGTAGCCAGTTAAAAGATATACTTAGACCACTGTCCACTGGAATTAATTCTACAGCGACAGTCTACTAAAATTGTTGAAAATGTGGAACTGAACAATTATAGTTATAGTAGATATTATAGTTAAATATTCCCTTCCAAATTCTTGAAAAGGCAATATTTAAAATATCCTGGGAAACAAACTGCTATACTGAGCTGCTGTGTTTAACCTTCAGTTTCTCATTTTTGTTCTTTACTCATGAGCTGAGTAAGAGTTGACAGCTGCCAGTCATATAAGATTCATTTAAGTTACTGCAGGTAATGAAGTATATACATATATGGGCCATTAGCTGTCTTGATTAGCTGCTGATGAAATGTTTTGATGAGTAACTCCCTTCAGAAGGACGGGGTTGGTTAGAAACTAATGTGTTGATGAAATAATTTCTTAAGAACCCTAGTTAGCCTTAAAGAAAGGCAGAATGTGTGTGTGTGTGTGTGTGTGTGTGTGTGTGTGTGTGTGTGTGTGTGTTTTCTTCTTAAAATGTTCACCTCATCTCACAAAAACAGTGGCAATATGAGTAGTCTTCTGATTTCTTTTCTTCTGATAATGTCCTCTCTTGTTTCTTATTATTGAAACATTTTTCCTAATTTTAGAGCATTTTAATTTTAAGGCAAATAACAAATAAAAGGTCTATTTTTCTTACTCCTAAATTTTGCTGAGTCCCAATTATTTCCTATTATCATATTCCCTGACTGAACTACTGAGGGCAGCTCCAGAGGAAGAAGCATAAGATTCCAGAACACTTCATTTCAACATTATTTCAACAGTGAAGATAGATTTCTTTTTGCTTTTGTGAATGCCATTGCTGTGATAAATTTTTTGGAAACATCTATAGACTCTCTCTGCCATGGGCAGGGATTTCATCTATTCCCAATTCCCAATCAAACATATTTTTGGCTCTCAGAATATAGAAAAAAGTGATAAGAGTAACTTTACACTGAAAGGCTAGATTGAAGCCATTCATTGTTTTGGGAGGTATCTTTCTGAGCATAAATTCATAAGTTCATCTGTACCCAAGAGCTAAAGATCACTAGAACACAATATCATCATGTACTTCTTATTTAATTACTGACACTAGTTTCTATACTTTATCACATATCCTTCAGGTTAAGGAATCATTTAACTCTCTAAAGATGGACTATATTATATTAACAGGACCAATAAGATATCAAACATTTTTATAGCCTAGGCTAAGAGAATTTTTCTGCATAAAAATACAGACAACAATATATTTCAGGTTTTATATGATGATTCCAGTTTCAAAGACCTGGTCTTGTTTTCTATACTTATAAATAATTCTACAAATCAGAAAAATAAGGTCCTTTGCCGTACCCAAAGTGTATTTTTTTTAATTTTGGGAAATTTACCACCATAGTCAGAATATATTCAAGATAAATGTTTATTTTCCTTTTAATACTCAACCCTCTCAGCAAATGGCCAGCAAAATTTTCTTCATATTACATGTTAAACAATTAGAAATCTCACAAGATGGAGAAATCTGTATTCTCGGATGTTTCTGTCTGCCAGGGGGAAAAAAATTGCTTATATTCCCAGCGCTAATTAAATGGGGATTTCTTTTTTCTTTTTTCTTTTTTTTTTTTTTTTTTTTGAGACAGAGTCTCTCTCTGTCACCCAGGCTGGAGTGCAATGGCATGATCTTGATTCACTGCAACCTCTGCCTCCCAGGTTCAACCCATTCTCCTGTCTCAGCCTCCCAGGTAGCTGGGATTACAGGCATGTGCAACCACATCTGGCTAATTTTTGTATTTTTAGTAGAGACGGGGTTTCACCATGTTGGCCAGGCTGGTCTCAAACCCCTGACCTCAGGTGATCCACCTGCTTCGGCCTCCCAAAGTGCTAGGATTACAGGAGTGAGCCACTGCGCCTGACCTCAATGGAGATTTTCTGACAGATTATTTTTTGATAGTCCTTGTGCCTAGATGTTGAATTGAATAGATTTTATTCCTTTAAAAATTGATTTTGCTCTTATATTCTCATGCCTTGGTTGCTACAGTGGCTATGAGCACAATAACTGTTTTTTATGCCCATTCACTCTAGTTCTACATTGCATTAGTACCATGTAACTCTCCTCTCTGACTGTCTTTCATCAAGGGCCAGTCAGAGAGCTGCCAACTATATCTACACAGATTACACAATTTGCATAGACTGTAATGTGAATTCTCTACAATGTAATGCCAATGTAATGCAAGCTGGAGTGCTGTAGTGCCCAACCATTGCAACAACACTGCAAGGAGAACCCCCAAAGTACAGTCAGGCTGCTCAAATCCATCTCCTCCAACTCCCCATATTTGAAGAAAAATCCTCTCCCTCATTTTCTCTGTTATCCATACAAAAAATTCACTCCTTAACCAATATTATCTCAGAGGGAAATATTCTCGTTTCCAGTAGACACGGATGAATTAATGATTAACACCCTTCTATTAGCCAAAAGTAACCTTTAGTTGATAGAACTTGAAAAGCATGCATACTGTTGAATTTGAGGTAACACAAGGAAAATATTTGCGATCAGAAGGTCTTTGAAGCCTATCTCCTGCCATTCTTAGTGCTCTGGCTTCAGCTTTCTTATGCCAATGAAGGAATAAAATCACTCCAGGAGAAATCATTGACTTTACAAGAAATGTGGTGAGTAGTTCTGACAATCATATATACTAGATTTAGAAAAATCTTACTACTTTATATTTTCCTAAAGTTTTGACCTGCTATTGCATTTGAAAAATATTCTATGATTATAGGGAACATTTTTAATTTTGTACGATAAACATTTGCTAGGTTCTTAATATGTGCCATATTACAAGAATTCCTAATGCTGATAAGGTAAAATCCCTGCTCTTGAGGAGCTTATGTCTAACTGGAAAGTTGGAAATAACTCAGAAGCTACGATAGAGCCATGGTGTGGAATGGAAGCGCAGGGTTTTGCAGCTATTCCAGCCAATGAAGGAAATTTTTGCAAAGAGTTAAGGAAGAAAGAATCTCATGGAATGAGGATGAGTTACTACATGACAATAAAAAAATGGGAGGGAATATTTCACACACTCAGAATATTAAGATCAAAGGCAAGGAGATATAAAATGTCACTGAATGAGAGAAACCCACATGGGTTTTGTTTTTGCGAAAACATAAAATATGAGTCAAGAAGGAGCAGGTAATGGAAGTCAAGACAATTGTGGTGGCCACAAGTCAGTAGGTCGACTGACTTTGAAGTAGAAGAGTTCAAGACCAACTTCACGTTTCACACAAGCCACATTTTGAGAGCTGTTGGTATTGGAAAAGGAGAAAAACAAAGTTGGGGAAACCAGTCATGAGTTTATTTTAGCAATTAAAGGGAGAGGTGATGATGAATTGAGGAAGTGGAAGCAGGAGAGAGAGAGGAAAGGAAAGAACATGATAATAATTATTAGGAAGATGATTCAATAGGAGTTATTTGAATTTGTGTGCTGAGGGAAAGAGGATCTACATAAGTTGATTAGTGAAACTGAGATGGAAAAACTCAAGAGTGGTAACAATGGTAGAGAGGAGGACAGACAGGGACTAGAAACTCAGCTCCGGAAATGTTGACTTTCTGTCATTCTTACTTCAAAGTCTGGAGCTCAGGGGTAAGGAAGGATTGAAGATCTTTTAAAATGACTGGAACTCATTAGGAAATTAATAATAATTAAAACCCTGAGGTTAGATAAAATCCTAAGGATTCATTCATAGAATAAGAAGATGGGAGATGAACTGGAGGATTATCAGGGTATATGTTCAGAGAGGCTGAAAAATCAGGAAAATCAGTAAAGAAAAGTGTGAGCCTAAGGAGATGTAAGTTCTGAGAAAAAGATGATGTTATAAAAGCACATCCAAGATGCCTGATGACATATTGTTGATATACTTGAGGACTCTATTAGGTAAAATAACGAGGTTTTGAGTACTACCCAAAAACCTGGTCATAGCCACCATTGGTTGGAGGGATCTTACTCGTATCTTATTTTAATCTTTTCAACAAGTCAGAATTAGATGTCACACAGTTTACAGAAGAAAAAAAAAACTGAAGCTCATGGAAGTAAGGGATTTGCTTGAGGTCTCAAAAATAATAGACTTATGAAACTGAGTTTTGAATTTTGGTCTTTGTAACCAAAATCCAGGTTTTTAACCAATAAAGTGTTTGGCTGACTTTCCTGGTTTATACTGACTTAGCTTCCATTTCATGAAACGATAATCAGTTTGGACGTGTATAATACTAATCATCTGCTGAGTAATCTCCTAAATTCCTTTGATTAGAGTTTAGAAAATGCCTCTGCTGTCATAAACAATTCTGTGGCTATGTGGCACAGTATCACAAGCCACTTATTTTCTTTGACTTGACCTTGGCTCCCTGCCTTTGTTTAAACAGAGCACAGATGAGAGAAGCACTGTCACCCTTGAGAAAGTTCTGTGTGACATAGAGCAGAAGGTGCTTGGGAAAAGTAGAAAGTAAAAGTGATCTGAACTAAAGCCAAGCTTTGAGAAATGAGAACCATGAATTGCACTTGATGGCCCAAAGACCCAGTCTAAAGTCTCCAAGAGTCTTGATTTGGAGATATTTCCTGTGTACAAACAAGGAGTCTGTTGAATGCAGGAGACACACGGATGGACTTTGGGTTGAGGAAAGGGGAAAAGAGAGAGCCAATAATACAAAAGCTAAAAAGAAATTATTTAGACAGATAGTGAGGGTAAGAGAGCCCTCGGAGGAATTTCCTTTTAATAAAAAGCAGGCTCCAAATCATTTCTTTTCTAACAAAAAGCAGCCTGAAAAATCAAGCTGCAAACATAAATAAGCAAGCTGGAAGCTTGCACATGTAAATGCCAGCAGCTGTGCCAATAGAAAAGGGATACCTGGAAACCAGGTATGTTCAACATAGAGGGTCCATCTTCTTTCTTCCTTGTTGCTACATGTGCAGTAAAGAAGCAGACAACATAGTGCCGGCCAGGTAGAGAAACCATCTGCATAATAAAATATTAGGGTGGGGTGGCCAGCTTCATCACGTGCTATGTAAATGGCACAACTGGTCCGACCAATCCTTTGTGCCCTATGTAAATCAAACACCACCTCCTCAAGCTCATCTATAAAACCAACCACATCTTGTCGCAAACCAGGGAGATCTGCTCAGAACCCCCTCTCTCTGCACAAGGGAGCTTTTCTCTTTTGTCTTTTAAAATCTGCTCTTAAACTTATTCTTTGTGTGTCCACATCCTTGATTTCCTTGGTGTGAGACAATAAGCCTCAGGTATTACCGCAGATGAATGATACCACTTCACTGTGAACCAATTGCAAACATAGCCACATATTTTTGAATGTGTATGTATTTCTGGACAGAGTATCAGTTTCCCTCATTAGCTATTCAAAGTGGCCCAAGACGCAAAAAAAATTTCAGGAATGCCAATGTTATATTTTTATTATGGAAAATTTCTTTTTTTTTTCTTTTTTTTCTTATTATTATTATACTTTAAGTTTTAGGGTACCTGTGCACAACGTGTAGGTTAGTTACATATGTATACATGTGCCATGCTTGTGTGCTGCACCCATTAACTCGTCATTTAGCATTAGGTATATCTCCTAATGCTATCCTTCCCCACTCCCCCCACCCCACAACAGTCCCCAGAGTGTGATGTTCCCCTCCCTGTGTCCATGTGTTCTCATTGTTCAATTCCCATCTATGAGTGAGAACATGTGGTGTTTGGTTTTTTGTCCTTGTGATAGTTTACTAAGAATGATGATTTCCAATTTCATCCATGTCCCTACAAAGGACATGAACTCATCATTTTTTATGGCTGCATAGTATTCCATGGTGTATATGTGCCACATTTTCTTAATCCAGTCTATCATTGATGGACATTTGGGTTGGTTCCAAGTCTTTGGTATTGTGAATAGTGCCACAATAAACATACGTGTGCATGTGTCTTTATAGCAGCATGATTTATAGTCCTTTGGGTATATACCCAGTAATGGGATGGCTGGGTCAAATGGTATTTCTAGTTCTAGATCCCTGAGGAATCGCCACACTGACTTCCACAATGGTTGAACTAGTTTACAGTCCCAGCAACAGTGTAAAAGTGTTCCTATTTCTCCACATCCTCTCCAGCACCTGTTGTTTCCTGACTTTTTAATGATCGCCATTCTAACTGGTGTGAGATGGTATCTCATTGTGGTTTTGATTTGCATTTCTCGCATGGGCAAGGACTTCATGTCTAAAACACCAAAAGCAATGGCAACAAAAGCCAAAATTGACAAACGGGATTTGATTAAACTAAAGAGCTTCTGCACAGCAAAAGAAACTACCATCAGAGTGAACAGGCAACCTACAAAATGGGAGAAAATTTTCACAACCTACTCATCTGACAAAGGGCGAATATCCAGAATCTACAATGAACTCAAACAAATTTACAAGAAAAAAACAAACAACCCCATCAAAAAGTGGGCAAAGGATATGAACAGACACTTCTCAAAATAAGACATTTATGCAGCCAAAAAACACATGAAAAAATATGGAAAATTTCAAACACACGTAAAGTAGAGAAAATAGTAGAAGAAACTCCCATGTAGCTAGCACCCAATTTCAAAAAAGTATCATCATTTTGCCAATTTTATCTTATTATTTCTCACTACATTTTGATTTTGTATTGCATTATTTAAAGGAGATCCTACAGACTGTACCAGGTTATTTCTACATTTTAGATACAGTTTTAAACATCTTGGAAACTGTATTCTAAGGATTTATTCCTACTAGTCAGAAAGCAGCTGATTCTGTGTCCTATTTCTGTGCCCTGTAAGACTGTATACAGGCTAACTCTAGTATACAGTAGTCACATACCACTCCCTGGGTATTTGACCCACATGTTTGTCATCCTGAATAGCCTAAATAAGTTCTAGAAGTTTACTAGAGCCACTCTTTTGGCCCTGGGTCCCAACCATTAGTAAACAGAAAAGGAAATACTGGTTATTCAATGCAGAAACAATTGCAGAAGTTTTTTCTTAGGAAACCCATAACAACACAATAAAGCAAGTATTACTTTTGTTATTATTATTTTCATTGTTAATGAAATTTTTTACTTAGACTGACACTCAGACAGAATAAAAATCTTGGATAAAGTTCCAAAACTTAGAAGTGAAAGATGTAGACTTCAAAACAGCCTCTGTCTGATTAGAATGTCCTGCTTGTTTCATTATGAGACTGCGAAGATTCCATGAGGACATTCTACATTCTCTTAGACCTAATCCAAACCACTCATGGTCCTATCATTCTATCCCAGACCCACCTGCTTGCCGCACCAAAAACAATGTTTGAGTCAACCAAATAATCAACATTTTATATTTGTACACAAGTTTGATCAGTTGACAGTCATCAGATAATCAGTTCTGAAGGCTGCTTTGCAGATGACTAAGTCATCAATTGATATCATCACCTCAGCATCAACCAAAAGATACTCTTGTTCTCTCTCTCTCCCTCCCTCTTTCCTTCTTACTCTCCTCTCTCCTTGCTCTCTATCTTTCTCTTTCCCTTTCTGGATGCTAAATGGATTTCTCAGTGACCTATGGATAATTATAAGTTTTATTGCAGAGTCTATTCTGAGAAGTTTACTTGCATGCACAAATTCAAACCAACTAAAATAAGGTTTCAAATTAAAACCAGCTAAAATAAGGTTTCAGTTTAGTTCTAGACAAAAATAAATTCAGGATAGTACATCTCTGTTTAGCACAAAGAGAAATGACAGGAATCCGGTAGCATCTCCTGTTTCTCTTTGCATTAACTTGATAACTGGCCCTTTAACTGTTTTTGAACAACAAACTGTTAATGGGATTGGGCAGTTTACATATTAATCTGCAGAATTAAGTTCAGTTACAAATGAATACTGCAAAGTATTTTTTGACAACTTATTAAAAATTTAAGTATGCTTCCAAACCCTCAGGCTACTTGATTTTTAAAGCTAAATTTTCTTCTGAAATAGCAATATATGACGCCTGTCAAAAACCCACAGCAATAATAGCTTTAGGCTACTTTCCAAAAATAAAATAGCAGTCTCTATCAGTCAGCAAAGTGCTTGTGCCTTGTTGTACATGGCCTCCTTTTATGGTTGATAATGCCTACAGCTGAAATTCGCCTGCAACTTGGCTAGAAAAGACTGGGTTCTGTGTTCCAATAGAAAGCAAATTATGCCTTGTCCATTCAGGTGACAGAACAAGAGTGGATGGCCTGATTTTGATAAGCCAGTGGGTAAGAAAATGACTTACCATTTCCAAATGAGCAATAAACCCATAACCAAAATATTTCAACATGAAATGTTTCCTTACTTTATTTTCTACTCTTGGCAAAACAAGGATGAGTCCGGAGAGAAACTCAGAGTTCATCAATACCTACTCTGTGCCAGATACTGAACATATTTTCTCACTCTGAAGTAGTGGATTATGTCTAAAAACTAGAAATTTGTTCTTGGATTCATAGCCTGTTTGAGGTGGGAGAAGGGAGAGGAAATTAAAAGAGAAAAAATAAATATGTTCCTTGAAATTGTATTTCCCATTTTAAGAAAAATATACTTTTTAATTCTAGATCTGTGTCTCTCAATCAGGGATAGCACCAGTCACCCAGACAATGTTTGCAAATGTATGTGTCAAGGAGTAGGTGGGGGAAAGAAGCTATATGTTCTTGGTTTTCCCAATAATTGAGGGTAAGAGTGCTCCTGGTATTTAATGAGTAGGAGAAAGGATGCTGATTTCATTGTAATATACCAGACATCCTAGCTCAACCTGTCAACAGTACCTCCACCGCCACTCCAGTGAGAATCACTGGTCACCACCATTTTCTGAATGTTTATTTTACATAAACATGAAGAAAAGGGCATCTTTAATTTTATTCTCATTAATATTGAGATAACAAGTATCACATATCTGTGATTTTATGTTAGTGTGGTTTAACCTGAGTGTGTAAAGAAAAACAAAAAAATTATGGTATTTCTTCCTTTACAAATCAAATAAAGTCAGGAATCTATTAACATTATCACAAGTATTACTAGTACTAATATATTCTCGTTGCTGGGATAGTCTTCTGGAAATGAAATGCTCCCTTTTTGAAAAGATCCTATTTTTCTTGAAAGACTGTCCCTTCCGCAAGATAAGTGTCTTGCTTATATGCAGCATAGCTGGCAAGTCACTGTCTTCATTTCTTATTTTTGTGCAAAAATAGTCATGACATATAATAATATTTAGAAACAGTTCATTTCAGTTCAATTTTCTTTACAATAATGCACCCACCAACCTCAAAGCAAATAGCATTTCACTGTGCACTTGTGAGCTTGTTCCCCTCCCCCATGCTTCAGAGTCACTCTGAAGTTCATACAGCGAAGGAAACTGAATAGTGCTAATGTGAATATAAGGAAAGTGAGACATGTGAGATCAACCTAAAATTGTTGGTTGCTTACTTAGTCTCTCTTTTCTTTCACATTCTTTCTCGGTTGCATAAACCACCAATTCATCCTTTGCATGCTGCCAGTAAGACCAACCAGTCAAGTAGAAGGTGTTTTGTCTCTTACTTTTCTTTCTTCTTTTTATCCTCACTTTTTTCTCAACAAAACTATATTTGTTCTGTGTAAAATATGTTACATCACTCCATGAAGAGTTCAGGGGCCTGGCTATTCCAGGCCACAGAACATCTTCAGCAACTGACAACCAGTCTTCTATTTTTCAGTGAGAATTGTCTTTCTTGCTTTCCTTTCAACTTTGGTGTTCACTTGTTTTACTTTATGATTGCTTCCCAAAGTATGTTTATAAAGCAAGTAACACATTTATGAATTATTTTATTCCTGTATGTTCCCTGGCTTTATTGAATGAATGACAAGATGAAGAAATTGAGTACTGAAGAAAATCCCTCTCCAAACCCTCATAAACACCTAAAGTATGTGAAATTCACTGAACTGGATACTCCCCTATGTCTGAAAAGGGCTTGGAGAACTGAGATTATCATAAAATCATCAAAGACAATAAGGTGCCACTTGCCACATAAAGATTTCACTCATTGAACTCAATGCCATGGTCACCCTTGAAGTGTGTGGAATGAGCTGTCTCCTACCTGGTGTGCTACTGGGTTCACTGGGAAGCCTCCCAAGTGTAGCCCCTTAAAATCCCTTTTTCATGTACTCAGAGCAATGAAGAGACCTGAAGTCCATTTGATGATCTTAAACATTCCTGGGGATGGCAAACATTTTAAATATGTTTGTCATTTATAACATAAGATTTTTATATCATTAGATTCAATTTTGTTAGCAGGATTTAATGAGGGCTTAGGGAACTCTTAGAAGATTATTAGGTTACAGGGTTCTTAAGGAAGGTCCTTAAAGGAGGCAGCACTTCTGAGTAGAGAAAGCAAAAAGAGTAATCTGTAAGGTCATCCAAATTTCATTCATAGTCAAAATGTTCACACTGTCTCTATGAGTTAGAATTTTGAACAAAAAGGTTTAAACACAATTTATATTTTTATTTAGCTTTGAATAAATTCTGTATCTTGCTTAACAAAGTTCTGGAAAATAAATATTCTTATGTCATGTGAATAATCATTTATTTTCTGAAACTTGGATTTTTCTTGACAAGTTTACTTAATTAAAAAACCCCTTAGTAGTTATTTATAAAACAAATATTGATCTAAAATGAATCATGTGTTTTGTTTTATTCTGTTTTCATTACTTACACGACAATTTCAGACACTCATTTTGAAGGGAAAATACTGTAGCCCAATGCCAAGCACACTTATGGTTGCCAGCACGTATCTGGCCTCTGACAGGCAATGAAAGTCTCACAGTCGGTCAGTTATGGAGAAAGCACATGTTGGGTGCAAGAGCTGGGATCTTGTAGAACCCATGTCCTAGACCTCGATATTCTGGTGTAAACGTGCCCTCCCATGTTCCATACAGAGTGATAATAATAATAGTAATAAACATTTTTGGCCATTTAATATTCTGTTTATAAGTGTTTCATGTATATTTACTCATTTAATTGCAACAGCTTCCTCAGGAAAGTACAATTATTATTATCATCACTTGCATTTTACAGACAAAGACTGTCATTTCTTCTTCTGACCACATTATAGAAGTGAGACATTCCGTACTTTTGGTACTTATTCTGTGTGTGGGGGACCTACCCATTCATTTATTTAAGATTGTTCCATGCATCACATGGTATTGTTCCATGTACTAGTTTGCTAGGGTTGCTATGACAAGGTACCACAAACTGAGTGGTTAAAAACAGCAGAAATGTATTGTCTCGTAGTTCTGCAGGCTGAAAGTCTGAAATCCAGGTGTTAGTGGGGCCATGCTCTCTCTGACACCTGTAGGGGAATCCTTCCTTGCCTCTTCTAGTTCCTGTGGTTCGTCTGGGGCCTTTGGCATTATTTGGTTTGCAGACACGTAATCCCAATCTTTGTCTTCATATCACGTGAAAGTTTCTCTGTGTGTCTTCAAAAGGTTTTCCCTCTGCATGTCTGTGTCCAAATTTCCCCTTTGTATAAGGGGAATATAATCCAGTCATATTGGATTAGAGTCCCCTGCTTAATGACCACATCTTAACTCATTTATTTATTTGTTTGTTTGTTTATTTTTTGAGATGGAGTCTCACTCTGTTGCTCAGGCTGGAGTACAGTGGCTCGATCTCTACTCACTGCAAGCTCCGCCTCTTGGGTTCGTGCCATTCTCCTGCCTCAGCCTCCAGAGTAGCTGGGACTACAGGCACCCGCCACCATGCCTGGCTAATTTTTTGTATTTTTAGTAGAGACTGGGTTTCACTGTGTTAGCCAGGATGGTCTCGATCTCCTGACCTCGTGATCCGCCCGCCTCGGCCTCCCAAAGTGCTGGGATTACAGGCGTGAGCCACCGTGCCCGGCCAATCTTAACTCATTTAAATATGCAAAGACCCTATTTCCAAATAAGATCACATTTTGAGTCACAGGGGGTTAGGACTCAACATGCCTTTTGCGGGGCATGCAGTTCAGCCTGTAACCCTTGGTTTCATGGTAAAGGCAGGAGATACATAGATGAACTGGACATGGTACCTGCCACCAAAGTTCTCACAGTTGCATTTAGTCATGAATAAATGGACAATTGCAATATAGAGTGTCAATTACTTTGGCAAAGTGAAATTCTAAGGAGGCTGTAGAAGATTTGCCAAGAAAGCCAAGTTGAAGAACAGCTTAGATCAGTCATGAAAAATAAAGATGAATTTGTCAAGTTAAAAAGAACCTGTGAAGAATAAAAGTGAGAATTATACAACATAATACATCAGGAAACTTGCAAGAAGTTGAACATGGCTGGAGCTTAAGGAATGGACGTGGATATAGGGGGAAAGAACATGACAAGAAATAAAGCTGACTTGATGGGGGTCAAAACTGAAAAAGTCCTTGTGTGTCATCAATAGGTTTTTCAATTTGCTCCTAATGACAGTAGGGAATTGTTAATGAATGTTTAAGTTAGACACTGACCTATCAAGATTTGCATGGGGTTAGATACAACAGGTAATTAGGAGATGGAAAGAACAGGATATAATGACCAATAGATGAGATGGGGAGGAAAAATAAAACATCAGAAAAGATGATCATCAGTCTCCAGTTTGGATAACTGATTAGAAGACTAGGTCGTTCCTCAATATGCCAGACTTAGTCAAAAGTTCCATTTAGGGTAGAAAAGATAATGAACTCAGTTCAAAACATTTTGAAGAATCCAAGATGCCTCAGAAATCAGCAGGTTGTTTTGGGGAAAGAAGCAGTTGGATCTGCAAATCTGGAATGTGGCTCAGAACTAGATATGGAAATCATTCACATGTCAGAGTGGGGAGGCCAGTTGTGGTGGCTCATGCCTGTAATCCTAGCACTTTGGGAGGCTGAGGCAGGAGGATTCTTAAGCCCAGGAGTTTGAGACCAGCCCTGGCATTATGGCAAAACCTCGTCTCCACAAAAAATACAAAAATTAGTTGAGTGTGCTGGTACACAACTGTGGTCCCAGCTACTTGGGAGGCTGAGGTGGGAGGATCGTTTGAGCCTGGGAGGCCGAGGTTGCAGTGAGCCAAGATCACACCACAGAACTCCAGCCTGGATAACAAAGCAATACCCTGTCCAAAAAAAAAAAAAAAAAAAGAATTGGGAGGGGAGATTCCCTGAGAAGAGAAGAAAAAAGAAGACATTAAAGAGACCTTAAGCCCAGACCCTAAAACCAACAAACTCTCAATGTAATAAAAATTGATTCCTAATACTTACAAAATTATGACACACACAGATAATGAACATTAGTTTGCATGACACGTGAGACCAGAGTCAACTCTCTGAGGACTCCTGCTGCCCTCCACCCATAGTCAATTCTGTAGCAACACAGTCTCCACCACAACTATGATCCATTTGTACCACACCACAGTGCCTGGGATGCCTGTTATAAAGTTCTCAATTAGATAAAATTAAACAATAATGAGGTGGTCAGGGACAGAACAGAAAATTCAGGAAAAAGTGATAAACTAGAAGACAGTGAAGAGATTCAAACATATAGAAAGAACTTATACTGTTAACATTTCAGAAAGATCAAAGTATTACCTTAAAAGCATTCATTGTACTAAGCAGCTAGGATCTTTGAGGATCTTGACAAGATCAGGCTCTGTAGGATAATGGATACTGAAACCACCTTGCATTTGATGAGAAATGGAATGAGAATTAAAGACTTGGAAGCCTCAAGTTCTGACTACTCTTTCTAGGAACTTTGTTATTCAAGGAAGGAGGGAAATGTATAATCATTGAAAGGAAAAATCATGGCAAAATTGTAAGAGGTTTCAAGTATATTTATATGCTGAAGGAAACAAGCCAGATGAGAGAGCAAAGGAGAGAATTATTGTTTTAGGTAAAAGAGCAGATAACTGGTGAGCCTCAGTGGAAGACGTTGATGGCATCAGGGTTCAAGTGTAGCTATTAGCCTTGCAGGGAGGAGGAACTCATCCTAAGATGTAAGGACAAGAGAAACAGGTGCAAAATGATGCAGATATATTAATTTGGAAGAATGATTGGGAAGCATGCTATTCTCAGTGAAATAAGAGACTAGAATTTTTGTTAAGATTAATTTTAACAAAATCCTAGCCCTACGGGACTCCAAGAGAGTGATGACTATTTGAAAAAATGTTATGGAAAACAGCAGCAAGAACCAAAGATGTGGTATGAGTGGAGAAGTGTGTGAGGGGTGGTATCAATACAGATGGAAGATAAAAGCCACAAAACAGGAGTCAAGTCTTCAGTGAATGTGGAAGAGAGACCTGGGAGTCAGCAGTTGACAAAGACTAAGGGTAGAGGAGCTAACATCAGTGGAAGATGCTGCTTATCCTCCACTGAGATTGTGTCGACATTTGGTCTAGAAGATACTGGAGCTTCAAGTCCACTGACTTTGGTTATCGATACTGTATGCTGTGGTTCTTGAGGAAAACAGTCACCATATAAAAAGCCTGCTGGGTGAAAAGTGTGTGTAGGGAGTGAGGATGGAATTAGTGTCTTCCTGGGAATCACCTGCCCTGGTATCCTCTGTGAACTTACCCTCTGAAAAAGAGGCAGGTAAGTCAGGTAATGGCTGCATCAGCCAATTGTCTAGCTTAAACATTGCCAGGACTGCTCAAAAGACTTAATGCTCTAACATCAGCAAAGGACCCTTGGATAACATGAGGACTTAGCCAGCAAAGACTCAGGGGACCAGTGCTCTCTGTTCCTCAAGGCACAGCAAATCTTGTGTTAAAAAAAAAAATCTCAAAGTAGAAATCCATTTGCTGTTGCATAGACTTGCTTCCCATAGTAAAGCTAGTAACTCCTGGTGAAAACATCTTAGGAAGATCTGTTGGGTACAGTATTGATATTAGATAGCTCCCCCAAGAACCCAGCTCTAAAAGGTCTACCAGAGGTGGTGCTGAGATCTTCATACTCAGAACCATGATAAACTGTGGTCTGAGTATCATTGGTGTCTGTCTCACCTGGGAGCTTATTGAAATGTAGAATCTCAGACTTCACCCCAAACTTAATGCATCAGAATCTGCTTTCTAACAAGATCCCCTGGTGATTCCTGAGTGCATTAGAGTTTGAGGAGTTCTGTTCTGAAAGCCACAATTGCTAGGAGCTTCACTTTTTGTTTGTTTGTTTGTTTGTTTGAATAATACACATTAGGTACTCAGCTGCCTTTGACAGCAACAGGCTTCTGAGAGCCAATGGGAACAAGCTGCCCTATGGGCATAGTTGCCCAGCTGGGACCCTCTGTCCAGTTGTGTGAGAGGTTTTGCCATTTTTATGAGTAGTAGAGGGAGGCAATGGAATGAAGAAAGAGATGGTAGAGCACAGAGGTGTGTCTAGTGTGTGTGTCTCCGTGGTGTGTGTGGTGTGTGTGTGTGGTTTGTGTGTGTGGGGTGTGTGTGTGTGTGTGATGTGTGGGTGTGGGTAGTGTGTGTGGAGTATTTGTGTGTGGTATGTATGTGTGGGGTGTGTGTGTGTGTGTGTGTGTTGTTTTCCCGCCTCTTCCCCAGAATTCCTGCAGCAGTGGAGATTATCATGACCTCTGGAGGGAGCTCTAGAATGAATTTTCTTTGGAATTTGAACTGCTTTTCAAATTCCTGGTGAAGGGTGTGACCTCAGTAAGACTCTTGGTGTGTATCAAGTACAGCACGGTGGTAGAGTGGTAGGGTCTGTTTCCACAGAGTTTCTTCTGTGTAGATTGGGCCCTTTCTTTTCAATTTTTGCCTCAGGGCATCTACTTCCATAGACTCACTGAGTGTTAGAAAAAAGGATTTCATGAATGATCTTCAACAATCTTTTCAGTTAATTCACAGACTGGAAATAAAGAAACTGTAGTTTCATAAAGTTTCACTTTATTCAAATGTAGTTTCTTTATTGAAAGTACTTGAGTAAGTCTTATCCTGGCAAAGTCTTGACACCAGAATTAGCTGAGGTTGGTTCCAGAAAAGGGATCCTCTAAAGTTCTTGGCATCAAAAAATAGAATCTCCATCAAATAAATAAATAGAATCTCCTTCATATCCTGATATTTTGACTGCCTCATTCATAAAAGGGAGAAACAGTTAATGACTTTTTGTGAAATTTCAGGTTGGACCTCATGTCAAAATAATCCTTATTCAGAAAGTGTGGGATCCAACAGAAACTTCAACGAATGTGAAAAAGAAAGTTAGCATGTGCCTTCTTCTCCCATTTATATTAAAGCAGGTGGAATGCAAAACTGTTAGCAATAAAACTCTACTCTGGCTCTTCTCTATAAATGTGGACGCTGTGCTCACTCCCAGCAGAGTTGAAGTTCAAATAAAGGCAAATAAAAGTGTGCTTTTTTCTGCTAACTAAACCCCCCTGCCACCCACCTCACTGTCGTGCTATGTTGGAGAGTAGGACGAGAAAGATAAAGCTTACGCCTCAGTCTCTTGGTTTACTTTACTCCAAGGAGAGCTTTGAGCAAGAGAAACTAAGTCTGAGTACAGACCATCGTGCCATGCTGCTAGAACATCTTATAAAATAAGACCTATATTCAAAGGTCCTAATGATTCACTTGAATCATGTCTTGAATGTCTTTTTTCCTCAAATTAAAATTGAGCCCTTTGCTTTAGTTTTCTTCTTAAGGTCATCTGTGTATCTATGTGTGTGCGTCTGTATGTTTTAATGATTTGTTTGGTTTGAGCCCCAAATGATGAGAAACCCTCTGAACTGTTATGTCGATTCTCTTAGTGAAAATAAATGTCGGTCAGATTCAACCAACCACTCTTGTAGAATACCTGTGATATGCCAGACACACTTTACATGAACCCCACCACATATATGGGATGTTCTATTGTTACCTATTAAACAATTTTCCCATAGATAGCTTATAAACTAAAGAACTGGGAATTCAGGGCCTTTTTCACTACATCAAACCTGACAAGGCAAAGATTTCCATTCCTTAAAGTCTTTTCAGGTCATTTGTGTATTTTCAGCATTAAAATGTAAGTTAAACCCATTTTAAAGAATCCTAATTTTTTAGACCTATAGTGAAATACGACAAATTCAAAAAATTTTTGGGAAATAGACACACGTGCATGCACGTATACACACCCTGCTGTGAGCTCGTGTGGCTGCGGGTGGTTAGTCAAAGAGGAGCATTGTAAAAAGTATGTGAATTGTTTTTAAGAGTGATCACCACTTTGCAACAGGAAGCGTTTTACTTGCTCTTGTGCTCTTTTTCTTTCTCTTAAACAAAAGGGAGATTGTTTATAACCACTCAGATATATTTTGTAACACATCATTAAAATGATCCAACCCAGGCAGCTCACAAGAGCCCATTTTTTAGGTAATGATGAACTTGCAATACACAGAAGCCAGACAGGTTATTCTGCTGATTCAGTCAATTTTGTGGGCCTGGTATGCACATAGTTTTCTCCTAAGACAAAATCAATAATTTTTAAAGCACCAAAATTATAAAGAAAAATATCCTGAGACTCCAAGTTAAAGGGCATATCTCAATATGGATTTCTCTCTGCATCAGATAATCTAAAATGATAGTGGAAACAAACTAAATGGCAGTGATCATTTTAAAGTGCATTGTATATCTAGTTTAATTTTTCTAACATGGCACTATCTTTAAGATTATAGATTATACTTTAAAAAATGATTTCAGGGGAAGAAACGTGGCTATTCAAAGCATCATATCTTAAGTTCACTCTAAATGTGACTATTGCATATAATAATAAAGACTGCACCTAGACATTTAGCTTTGAGACTTCAACTCAACACTTCCTGTCTCTGGTGTTTAGAATAAATTGCAAATGTGCATTACCTTGTGTACATTCTTTTTTTCTCTTCCTGCCAACAGATGGATTCTCCCTTCTGTTCCTAGATACAAGAGATGTCATCAGCTGTTATGGGGAAAGACAGTTCCTAAATTCAGATCTTAAAGGAGAAAATCCTTTTACTTCACCTTTAGTAAGGATTTCATTTGTAAATGTTCCCGTCAATTGAAACATACTGAGGAAGACAATGACTGAACACTGCCGCAAAACAATGTGGCAGAAGGAAATTAGGCAGTGGCAGAGGCTGGAAATGCTGAGATTTGCCATCTATGTAGACACATATGTTTCGAGATCATAAATCTCTCTCTCAATTTCGTCACTGGATAAAGGTCACCCACTTTTACATATTCCACCCAGCCCTCTTTCCATTTAAAAGGATGGAGCTCAATCCCAAAATGAATGAAAATGTCTTGAAATATGACTAAACTAAATTTCACAAAAGAAAGTAAATGCAAAATCATAAAACCCACTAAGAAAGAGAGAGAGATCAGGCTGGGCGTGGTGGCTCACACCTGTAATCCTAGCACTTTGGGAGGCCGAGGCAGGCAGATCACAAGGTCAGGAGATTGAGACCATTCTGGCCAACATGGTGAAACCCTGTCTCTACTAAAAATACAAAAATTAGCCGGGCGTGGTGGCATGCACCTGTAGTCCCAGCTACTCGGGAGGCTGAGGCAGGAAAATGGCCTGAACCCAGGAGGCAGAGTTTGCAGTGAGCCGAGATCGCGCCACTGCACTCCAGCCTGGGCGACAGAGAGATACTCCCTCTCAAAAAAAAAAAAAAAGAAAGAAATTTTATAGAAGTGACTTTATTTTTAATGTACAGTTTTGCCTTTATTTCCTATATTGTTTACTTGGCATTTAACTTGTGCTGGCCAGTTGTGTCTTGTTCTACAAGTAAGAATTTGGACGATATAAGAAACTGAGAGTGCCAGAAGTTACCATGTGTTTCGGCAAGGAAAATTTTAAAGATATAAATAAATACCATTTCACCGAGTAAACTATAAGAACTTTGGGGACAAATACATGTCTATTATTTTGTTATAACTTTAGTTCCGGCTGGGCACGGTGGCTCACACCTGTAATCCCAGCACTTTGGGAGGCTGAGGCGGGTGGATCACCTGAAGGTCAGGAGTTCGAGACCAGCCTGGCCAACATGGTGAAACCCTGTCTCTACTTAAAATATAAAAAATTAGCCGGGTGTGGTGGTGGGTGCCTGTATTCCTGGCTACTTGGGAGGCTGAGGCAGGAGAATCTCTTGAACCTAGGCGGCGGAGGTTGCAGTAAGCCGAGATCAGGCCATCACACTCCAGCCCAGGGAACAAGAGTGAAACTTCATCTCAAAAAAAAACAAATAAATAATAAACCTTTAGTTCCAAGCACAATGACTTATAGAATACAAAAACTTAACTATTTAATTATGAGGAAATTGATAAGGAAGTATTTATATGTGTGGGTTCGGAGGACATTTCATTTGTAATGTATATTTATTATTATTCTCTCTAATAAGATTTTATCACCAGACAGGATTTTGGAAAATATCGTTCACTCAAACAACATGAATGAGGAAGGAATCCTGGCAGGTTTGAAATACTTGGATTCTGTAGATTTCTTTAAAAAAAAATAGCAAAAATATGTATGCCTATAATCACTTTAGAGTAAAATGTTTAAAAAAATGCACACAAGTAAGAGAATGGCCTTTATTTTTAAACATGTATTTTAGGTTTTAAGAATACATAAGCATATTCCATCTGTTGGGATGTATAGTTTGTTTGAGTTCTGCCATGGAGTTTGAAAATGGAGCAGTATTTTGCTCTCCTTTCTCCATTGGTTAATTTACTAGGTGACATTGGGCAAATCCATCGTCGTTCCTTTATGTCAACATCTTCACCTTCACTAATGCGTATTGGGAGCCAAGGATGTGGTAATCTATACCTTCAGATAGTGACAAAGAGCATAATAATCTTCAACAGAGGAGGAACTGTACTTTTTGTATTATTAGCAGCAATATATCATTGAGTATTTTTAGGCAGTTGGGGTGCATTTACTTCAGGTGGTTATTTGGGGGTTGTTCATTTATTTGTCTTCATCTTATGAGTTAACACTGCCAAAATTTACATGACTGAGGGGAATTGTTCTAGATCCAGTCTCTTACCTCATGTTCAATGCTCTTTTGTTCCCTTATAACATGACTTCAAGATTTCCATGGGGACACCTTAAGCCGCAGTCATAAATTTGGGAACTATGTCATTTTTTTTCTATGTAGGTCTCTTATCAATTTTCCATTAATAAAAATGAATTTAGAAGATAACCTATATCAATTTTCCATTAGTAAAAATGAATTTAGAAGATGAACCAAACAGAAAATTTAGAGGGCAGTATAGACTAATAAGGCTACAAAACAAATACTGCGTTAAGTTCTCAGCATTTCAGCTAGCTACAAAGCTCACTGTATAAAACATAACTTATATAGAACTTGTATTGTTCTTCCTCTCACTCCTATTTCCGCTTTTAAAAATAATTTTATACAATTGTGTTAGTTCTTTAAAAATAGCCTCAGATACCCTTATATTTTTCTTGTCTCTAAACCTCACTAACTCTAAAAATAAACTTACAAAACCACACACACAAAAATGGAAAACTCAAAAACATTCAAAGATGTAATTCAACAAGGACAGAATGATGCCTTGATCCCCTGAGACGGCTCTGCCTTAGCTGCAGTAGAAAAAGTTGTAAAGGCAAGAATGGTGGGGAACTGGAGGAAAATTAATTTTGCACCTGCGATGTCTTGGGCAGTTGGAGCTCAGTTTTATAGGATAAAGTAACATCAGTTGAATTACTTATAGTAGTGTCATTTCCCATGAAATTTTGGTTATAGTCCCCACTTCACTTGTATGGAAACCCATTAGGGCTATTTAGATATAACCACCCAAAGAACATTTTTCATTTTTACATTCAAACCTGGTCTACGTAGCTGAGACTGCATAATTTATTTCAGGTCATTTTTGATCCTCTGTGAAGTATGGAAGTGGTAGAGACTTTTGAGTCATGCATTTTGCGTGGCTGGTAGTGAGGGGAAATCACTCAATATGTGAATAAGCCCATTACAAACAGGACAGTGGCTAGAACTCAGGAGGGAAAAACAATCACTTACCCTTAAATCAGGACTATCAAGAGAGTAGAGCACTGAATCCTACAGTTTACACAGAAAAAACATTTTGAGAGTAAGAAGAAAAGGCTCTGTATGAGCATCCAGGTTAGCTTGGGGCCTAGGGTCACAAATTTATTCTTAAAAGTGAAAAATAGTAGGAAAAGAAATACTAAATGCAAACTTTCCTTACTTTATAATTTTGCCTTCAGGTAGCCTGAAGTAAAAAGATCCTTTGAGATAATTATGCACTTTGAGTATAGAAAATCTTAGTACAATATTTAATATATTCATGCTTTTTTTTTTTTTTCTTGAGACAGCGTCTTACTCTGTCACCCAGGCTGGAGTACACAGGGTCTTGCTGTATCACCCAGGATGAAGTGTAGTGGCATGATCACAGCTCACCGCATCCTCCCACCTCAGCCTCCTGAGTAGCTAGTACTACAGTTTTGTGCCATCACACCCGGCTATTTTCTTTCTTTTTTTTTTTTAAGAAATGGGCCTCACTTTGTTGCCCATACTGGTCTTGAATTCCTGGCTTCAAGGAATCCTCCTGTCTCAGCCTCCCAAAATGTTGGGATTATAAGCATGAGTCCCCACACTCAGCCAGTATTTAACTTATTCCTATTGGAAAACAAAACAAAACAACAACAACAACAACAAAAAGAAACAAAAAAACCTTGCTCCTTGAACACTTAGAACTATACTGTTCCTTAATATATGTTAAATTAATTTTAATGTATATCAAAATGTCTAGCCAAAAAATCCTCTAACTTATACATTTATTGCCTCTCTTTTTTATTCCATATCTGTTTATTCTAAGAGTTTGAATTTCAAATATTATGTGTACACTTAGTAGTAGATGTAACTGTTTTATAGTTTATTAACTTCACACTTACTTACTTTACGAAACAAAATTTGGTGAGATAGAAGGCACTTATTATTGGCTGCACAATAGGATTGAACAACCAGTCACCTTATATTAAGCTAAATCCCTGGTCAGTATCAGAGCTCCTCACTTATGTCCACACGAACAATGTGATATGGCAGGCTTTGCCAATAATAAAACTCACAAACAGATATTACAAATTTTTTTGAGCATGATCTACAATGGCTACTTCAGAGAACTTGACAATCAAAATGTATTTAGTACTTAGGCCCAGATTTTGCCTAGATTATACAGGCAGTTAAGACCTCACTTTCAGTCCTAAAGGTAAAGATTGCACAATTGTGAAAGTTTGGCATCCATCAGGGCACCTTCAGGGAACAAATGGGGTGAAGCCAAATAGTCTGTGGTTGCGACCCAATTGTTTTCCTTCTTGAAGTTTCTCATACTAAATTTTTCCAAGTAATGATTCCAAGTTTTAGCAATTATTTGCTTACTTCACAGTGAAAAATCTTAAACTACAAGAAAAAGCATGCTTTATTTCCACCCCATCTCTATAAAAATGTTTACACTTACAGATTCAGTATTCATCTTGAACTTTCCATCATTGCTTCTGGCCTTGATGATACAGGGAAGGTTATTGTTAACCTCTCAATGCACAGATATAGTTTGAAGTTAAAAATTTTCTTAAACATATGCAAGAGAATTAAAGGTATTATTTCTTCTGATAAAAATCAAAGTTTCTTTTTTATGTAAGCAAGTGATAATTAAGAGTGATAACATTTCTGAGTGCCTATATCATACGTTTAAAAGTAATATTTGGCTGAGTGCTGTGGCTCACGCCTGTAATCCCAACACTTTGGGAGGCAGAGAAGCAGGTGGATCATTTGAGGTCCGCAGTTCAAGACCAACCTGGCCAAAATGGTGAAACCCCGTCTCTACTAAAAATACAAAAATTAGCCGGGCGTGGTGGCCCTCATCTGTAATCCCAGCTACTCGAGAGGGTGAGGCAAGGAGAATCAATTGAACCTGGGAGGTGGAGGTTGCAGTGAGCCGAGATCGCGCCACTGCACTCCAGCTTGGGCAACAGAGCTAGACTCCATCTCAAAATAAATAAATAAACAAATAAAATAAATAAAGGTAATATTTTAAATTTCCTAAACTTGATTCAAGAATAAAACATTTCATTCTTACTAGATTCTCCTAAAACAAAAACACAAGTGTATTTGTTAGATCATTTTCATTACCCCATTGCATAATTTAGTAAATTGCATTTAAAGAGTTAGGTGACTGTATGAGTTCCTCAAAGTTGAATGGGTTATTTAGTTTTAGTTCCCAGAATCCCCAAGATGTAGAAGGCATTTATAGCTAATCTCAAAATAAAACAAAATTTCAACATCATCTCTTATTTAGAATACTGTTTTCTGAATTGTCAACAATAAACTAAGTAACATTAAATAAAGTAAGCTTAATTTTAGATCAGTAATTGTAAAGGGTTAATACAGTTGCAAGTACTTTTAAGGCAGGTAACATGGATTATGTTAAGTTGACTAAGAGATAAATAATTTGATATTTTAGTCATGGTTCTTCACTAAATCCAACAGTGATCTAAGTCTTTGAAAAGTAAAGGAAGGTTGAATCAACTGAAATATGTTGATAATCATTTTAGTAATGGATATTAAATTAGGTTACATATGTGTGTGTATATATATGTATATATAAGTGTATATATATAGTATATATATATTGCCCCAAAGATTCTTTATAATTATATAATAAAGTTATTAGATCATGTATTTGTTTCCTATTGTCATTGTACCAGATTATTACAAGTTCAGTGAATTCAAAGAATGCAAATACTTTAACTTACAGTTCTGGGGGTTAGAAGTCCTAAATGGGTCTCACAGGGCTCCAATCAAGGTGTGGACAAGGCTGCATTCCTTCTGGAGGCTCCAGAGGGAAATTCCTTGTCTTGACTTTCCCAGCTTCTAGGGGCTGCCCATATTCTTTGGCACCATCTTGAAAACCAGCATTGGCATCGCTCCTAACTTTTCTTCTATTGTCACATCTGCCCTTCCTCCTCTGACTCTTCTGCTTCCTTTTTAGATTTATAATACCTTTTTGATTATATTGGGCCCACCAGGGGCCCAATCCAAGCCCCCCCCCGACCAATTTTGATAATCCAGGATCACCCCCTGTCCATTTTAAGATCCATAACTTAATCACAGCATGTGATGCTTTGCCTTACATGGAAAAGCATCCCCTTTGCCATGTAAGGCAACAGAGTCACAGATTCTGGGGACTAGCACATGGACATCTTTAGGGGTCATTATCTGGCCTACCACCGACTGGCTGTATTGCAGGTGACTAAGGTCCTACAAGGTAGAAACATATGTAGAAAATTATGCTGGAATTGAAATAAAATGCTTGAGGGTAGAAATGCTTCCACTGAGGCCTGGGCAAAAAGGTTTAGAGTGTGATCAGTATGTAGTTTATATGATCTTTCTTTTGAGCAAGGATTTTAGCAAGGGAGGGAGACCTCATGTAAGTCTCCACCTCCACAGGTGATTTTCTCCTTCCTATATGGGGATCAAATGCTTGCAGGTTCATCAAAGCTCAAGCAACATCCTTTTATGCCATCTGGATGATTCAGAAATATAACTAAACTATTTATAACTCATTTTTATATTCCTTAATCCAATGAGTATTTAGATGTCATATATTAAACAATGTACATCTATCTACTGCTTGCATTTCTGTCAAAATGGGATTTTTTTCACAAATGCTTTAAATATTTTATAGCCAATTGCCATTTTCACCCTAAGTTGAAAAACTAAAAGGAAATATTAGAGATGCCAGTGCAACATAAATGAGTCATCTGAATGTAAAATCATCACAATAAGATTATGAACAAAAAATATTTTATCAATAACAATTTTGATAAATATAACATTCTAGTAACCTTTGACATATCACTTCATCCTGGAAATTTTGACCTTTGACTGTGTCTCCTTCTCACCCAAGGAAAGGGAAAGAAAGAAAGGTTTGCACATTTGCCATTGCCTATTGTGATTCAAAGGCATTTGGAACAATAGCAAGTTAAGAGAGCTGCTACTTGGTGATGGCCTGTCCTATTGACCTTGAATGATCACCGTGGGGTCTTTTTCTCGAGCTATCCTAAAGGGTAAATCAGAGTTTATCAGGCTCATTAATCCAGGCTTCCACTGGGGCCTGGGCAAAAAGGTTTAGAATGTGATCAGTATGCAGCTTTCGTGACCTTTCTTTTGAGCAAGGGAGGGAGACCTCATGTAAGTCTGCACATCCGCAGGAGGTGGCTTTCTCCTTCCTATATGGGGATGAAAAGAATGATACCGAAGTCAATTCAGCAGAGAGAGTGACAAGGTCACTGTGACTGTATTCCCATGCCAGCTGTTCTCAATACAGCCTGAGTGGGTGCACCTTTAATTTTCTGATCTTCAATCTCTTTAGTGTGGATGTATTTTTATTAATAATTATGCTGGATATCTTCATCACTTTTCCTATAAAGTAGTCTTGATACGTAGTCAAAGAGGAAGGATTGGCATTGGATGATTAGGTAATGTCTTTAATTCACCGGGGCTATCTTTATTTTCATATTTACCACTTTTATTGAGACATACGATACAAAAATGGAGTAGGGAAATCCAAGTCTTGTTTGGGTACAGTTGAGGGTCAGGTGTGTAGAACAAAACCAAGTTTTTTTTCTGCATCTTTATTTCCATCTGTCTCTGATGCTGCCATACCTCAAAAGGACAAATTCTTATTTCTGGTGAAGGAGAGTCCAAAGACGTGGAATATATTAGAAATAAAAATCCCCTGGATGAGGGGCAAATCTAAGACAAAGCCAACTGTTTTCTTTATGTACTGTAAATGCTTCATTAAAACATAAAGTAGGAGAAATCAAATGATTGTATCACATATGAAGCCTTGGAACTTCTGTGAATCTTGTCAACATTTAGCATCAGCTAGGACAAATAAAAAATGTCAAGGTTTTGTATCATTTAAATTTAGGCTTTATTCTACTAAGGAGGAATGATTTCTATGGTCAGGCTGACCTTCTGATGATTACACAGGTATCTGTAAGAGATGTATAAGCGAGTGTTGCTGAGTCTCTCCATATTATGCTCACTTTAACAAGAGTGTTTTTAAAGGAGCTCACATGATTTGGGGCAAACCAACAGGGCCTTATTGTACAGATATGAATAAGCTACAACTGCTGAATGCTATCATATTTGCTTTTTAGTTAAATATGCACACAGACACAAACACACAACCTAATTTTGGAGCATTTGGGGTAATTTCTAAATAATTATAAGATTGAGTGCTCTATTTATTATTAACGCTGAATTATATTCAATAACGGTAATAAAATTCAGAGTGCCATTCTTATTTTGTAAGAATTAACAGTCTAGAGAAGAATTTAAAAAGCTTGTACATTCTGATTTGTCTCATATGTAATAAATGTATGGAAAAAGCTGTATTGGAAAGCTGTAATGAATGAGCTACTCAGGCCTGTGCAACCTGTTTAATCCACTCTCCCATCACAGCAATAGACTCAGGTATTGGTGCATGGCCAAGGTCATTGAAAGGTAAGAGGCAGTAGTGTGTGGATGAACCAGCTATAGAGTGAAAGAGTGAGGGTGGGGCACAGAGTGGGGAAGCCCCGATTTGTTGAGTTTGCTGGTTTCCCAAGGAGAAGATATTTCCACTGGGGTGATTTCAAGCTACCAAATTGACATCACTGAAAATGAAGTTTTCTTTATGGTCCTCCAAATCTGTTGGTCAGTATCATGCCCTGAGGAATAAAATGTGCTTTTCTCTTAGGCTATTATATTAGCCTATTATTCAAAACACTTTTGACTGGGCGTGGTGGCTCAAGCCTGTAATCCTAACACTTTGGGAGGCTGAGGTGGGTGGATCACCTGAGGTCAGGAGTTCAAGAGCAGCCTGGCCAACATGGTGAAACCCCATCTCTACTAAAAATACAAAAAATTAGCCAGGCATGGTGGCAGGTGCCTGTAGTTCCAGCTACTTGGGAGGCCGAGGCAGGAGAATCGTTTGAACCCGGGAGGCAGAGGTTGCAGTGAGCCCAGATCACGCCATTGCACTCCAGCCTGGGCAACGAGAGGAAGAGTCCGTCTCAAAAAACAACAACAATAACAACAAAAAACACTTTCTGCCCATGCATAAGCTTCTAAGTGAAATATCCCTACTCACCACCCCTGAAGACATAGCTTGCACAAAATAATAAATACAAAAAATTAGGCAGAAATGGATATTGACCAACAGTAGTCAATGTACTAGCTGTAAAGAAATTATAATAAAATAAGCTAGGCCGGTACCACTCACTTTCTCCGGGATTTTAATTGAGAAGTACAGAGAAAATCAAGCCATTAGTAGTCATTGCTGAAGGTCAAAAGAGGCACAGAGAGAGAAGCTATGAAGTCGTGTAGGGGCTTTAAGGTGGAGAATATGGCAAACTAAAGCTAAAATATATAGAAACTCAGGGAAAAAAGACATTAAGATACAGAGTCTCATTTACTCTGAGAGATATGGATAAGAACTGGCTCCTAGACCTTCTTTGATTCCCATCAACACTCTTATTCCAGATTTGGATCACATATATTCTTAAGAGAAGCTCTCTTTTTATTAAGGCCACTTGAGTTAGAATCTTTTTAATTATAAAAAGACTTTGGGTAAACATTTAAGTAAACAAAAAGACTTCAAGTAAAACAAATTTGTACCAGGAATTGGGCTTAAGCTAGTGGAAATGGTGGGGTAATTGGAATTACTTAGGCCATTATAATGGCTTTGCTTCTGGAATGAAATTCTGATATTTCATGCTATATGTTGCAGCTAATAAAGTTATATTCTGTGCTTTCTGGAGAAGGGGAGCATCATGACTTTCTTCACTGTAAAAAAAAAAATGTTAGGCGGCAAGTTAATCCTCTTAAAATTACTCATCCCCTTAAATATCCTACCATCTCAAAATAAATGACATTTTAGTACCAGCCATGAGAACCATATGTTACAAGGTAATGAACTATTCCAGAAAATGAAATATATGTTTAGGACAAGAGCAAGTGAATGGTACATGGCATCAGGTACAGAAATAAAGGTTTGTGTCCCATTTTTCCCTTTTGCAAAAGTTGGTTGTTATAACAGTTCTAGTTATTTCCCACTATTGTATATCAATTGTTTAGCAATGTTTGTTTACTTTACAGATTGCAAAGAGGAGATAAATAAAAACCCAATATACTTTAATGGTACTATTTAAAATAACAGCTAGTTTTCTATGTGACAAATATTCTTCTAAGCACTTTAGATACATAGATTCACTTAATCCTCTCAAAAATCTAAAAAAGGTAGTTGAGGAACATACCCATTTTACAGACTAGGAGACCGAGGAATAAAGAAGTTAAGGTAATTTCCCTGATATTATATATTGGAGCCAACTTTCATAGCCAGACAGCCTAGCTTCAGACCAATAGTTTTTTGGGTTTTTTTTTGTTTTTTTTGTTTTTTTTGTTTTTTTTTTGAGACGGAGTCTCGGTCTGTAGCCCAGGCTGGAGTGCAGTGGCACGATCTCAGCTCACTGCAATCTCCGCCTCCCTGGTTCACGCCATTCTTCTGCCTCAGTCTCCCGAGTAGTTGGGACTACAGGCGCCCGCCACTACGCCCGGCTAATTTTTTTGTATTTTTTTTTTTAGTAGAGACGGGGTTTCACCGTGTTAGCCAGGATGGTCTTGATCTCCTGACCTCGTGATCTGCCCGCGTCAGCCTCCCAAAGTGCTGGGATTACAGGTGTGAGCCACCGCCAGACCAATAGTCTTGACCATTGCCCAGTGGATTCCAATATCATTAAATAGTCTTTGATGTGGCCTTTTGTCATTTCTTCTGGAGGCACTAGATGGAGTTGACACAAAAGCATCCTATTCTTAAGGTATCAATGTATTTACAATGCATGTGATAGATGGAATGTGTCAGATGGGGACAACTTTTGAATTGGATGAATGGGATGTAGGGAGTTTGCTTTACTAATTAGCAAGAGTTAAGCTCTATTAGATATGTTTCATACCTTGTTCACCATGGCTACGTTCCTTACCAGGAAAAACTGCTTCATAATAATTTTAGTGCACAGGTTTCCACCTCCTTAGTGATTCCCACCTAGGCCAAGAATGAGACACTGGACTCAAAGGCAGCCAATCCAAAAGCTGATGAGAAAACTGTGATATGGCCTGGCTTACAAAAGATGAGCTCAGCAAGTGAGATTCTCTTGAAAATCAGAACTAGGAAATTCTAAGAGCCTGAGTCATTTAGCAGGAGGAACCAAAGTTAAATGTTGTAGAAATCAGCCTGGAAACATGATGATGGGCTTTGCCAAAGTTATGAGGTAACAGAAACTATGAGTAAGCAGAGCCATTAGGTAGAAAAAAAAAATTAAGTACAAAGTAAGGAAACTATTTTTTTCGTTGGACATTAAAAGCAGGCCTGGGGGAATATTTGAATCACATCATACACAGCCGACTGTACAATGAAGACCCCCAAAGTATTGCTGTTGAGGTCTCTAGGAGTATTATGAGTCTAGGAAGGCCTTTCTCTTAGAGACTCTAATCGAAGGTGGCCATGTCACTAGATCCTGTTTACTTGGGGTTTTTTCCCCTTGTAAACAAAAGCTTCTTCCTAAGACATTAAAGATATGTTCAGAATTATTCAGAACCCACTTTTCTTGTCTTTTGTAGCTTCTAGTAACTATTCTTTCATAGCTCCTCCAAGGCACGGGTTAGTAACTCACCTTTGGAGTTAGTCAGTGACAACTTGGGCACCTCTTAGAATGGCACCATCACGTGACAGTCTTTAAAGAAGTATCTTTTGTTATCCAATACTTTCAACGTGTCTGGACTTCAGAAGACGAAAGTGAGTTGCATTATAATAATTAGCTGCAGGAATAGTATAGAAAGGTGTCTCTTGCAAGAACTAGAACTTAGATATGGAATCAAAAGGAGAAACAAGCTTGCAAGAATCCATGGAAAAACTAGACAAATATTTGGACTGATTTTAATCATTTCCTTCGTTCCAACTTCTCCACAATAAATTAAATAATTAAACAGAATCATTCATTTATTTATCAAAAATAAGGCAACTGAGAGCTTATTTTTGTTAACATTTTATCATGTTACATACTAAGTTCTTTTTTCACCCTGACTATTCTCTCCTTAGGAAGCTACACCTAGGCCATTCTCTCCAGATATTTGTTTTTTTTACTTCTAGCTAGTACCTATGGCTAGACAAGTAGATAGCAAGTTGTCTGTGGCGTTCCTTTGGAGTTACCTTACTAATTGTGTCTAACCATATTACCTGATTTTTTTCTTCTATTTTGAAGTTTGTGATTAACAGTGACCTAGCTTAGGAAGATGTAAGTTAGGCATAATAATAATAATATAATGTGGTTTGAAATTTGCAAAATAATTTTAAATCAAGTATTTTGTTTTCTATTGTGATAACTAATTTCTGAAATGACATGGCATTTATTACTATTTCCTTTTCGGGTGTATTGATAAGAATGGTTTCCACTGTAATTGACAGAAACCTAAACACAAAGTGGGCAAAACAATAAAGGAGCTATTGGACGACTGAAAATGATCTGGCTTTAGGCATTTCGATTGGGATGCTACATCTCTCACTCTGGAATTCTCTGGTTCCATCCTCTTCCATGTTTTGGCTTCCCATGAAGGTGACTTTTCCATTTGGCAGCAAAAGGTTGCAGCAGTCACAGGCCTCTTATCTGCTAACCTAACTATCTGCTCATCCGACCACTTGCTTGACCTGACCAAGGGGCTTTTCTTTCCCCAACTATGGCACTGAAGTCCTAGGCCTCTATCTGACCAGACCAACTTAGGTCAAGTGGGCAGTCCGGAAAGAGTTATCCAAATGCCAAGCACTGAGCAGTTTAGGCCTGGGTTAAGTGTTTGTCACTGAGCCAGTCATTGTGAATATGGAATTGGTTTGAGCTGAGTGGATGAGGCCAATTGCCCCTGGAGATGCAGCAGGGGAATGTGATCCCATCCTAATTGCATGGCTGGTACCTGCGACAGTATGCTGAGATGGCTACTTCCAAAAGATATACTATGACAGGTGAGCAGGCAACCAAAAGTGTGGACTCCTGAGAATATGATTTGGATTTCTGCTTTCTACTCTATTTATTTGACTCATAAAAGTGAGAATACTACTAATACTTTTCTCTCAAAAAGGGAATGATGAATCTCTGCCATGTAATTTGGTAAACTACTATGTTATGAGCTAAAAGGCAATTTCATTAGCTTACTATGGTTGATGTTGTGTCTATTATTAGTTAAATTATTTTTTAGAACTTAAAGATAGTCCGGGCATGGTGGCTCACGCCTGTAATCCCAGCTCTTTGGGAGGCTGAGGTGGCTGGATCACCTGAGGTCAGGAGTTCAAGACCAGCCTGACCACCATGGTGAAATCCCGTCTTTACTAAAAACAGAAAATTAGCTGGGTGGGGTGACGGGCACCTCTAATCCCAGCTACTTGGGAGGCTGAGGCAGGAGAATCGCTTGAACCCAGGAGGCGGAGGTTGCAGTGAGCTGAGACTGCAGCATTGCACTCCAGCCTGGGCGACAAGAGTGAAACTACTTCTAAAGAAAAAAAAAATACAGAAATAAGTCAGACATTTAATAAGAACTCTCGTTTCTTATAAGTAAATCAAATGCTTGTGTAGATATTCAATTTCACCAGAATTTTCCAGTGTGTTTTGTAACATGGTATAGAAATCTGAAATGGCTATTACTAAGATATAGATAATCCTGTCATCAAAATATTTGGGAAATGTTAAATTAGACAAGAGTAAATCGGTGTCCTTGCAATAAGATTCTCAGAATCTTTAACATGCCAATATTAAATGTGAATCTTTAAGAGAGAGTCATATTATTGCTGAATTTGTCATATAAATTTCATCATAAAATCATTTAGTGGGGATAAAACATTAGAAAAGTAATTCTTAACTGAAGGTAATTTTTTCTCCAGGGGGCACTTGGCAATGTCTGGATGCCTTTGTTTCTTGCCACAAATGGGTAGGTGTTATTGACCTCTAGTAGCAGGATGCTAAACATCCTACAATGCACAGGACAGGCCCTATACAACCAAGAATTACCCAGCCAAAAATATCAAGAGTACCACAGTTGAGAAAACCTGTTTGAATTAATGTGATATGAAATTAACTCTGCGAAACACCGATTTAGACAGCTGATGCCAGATTTCCTACTTCTAAAGAATAGCGTAATCATCTGCTTTTCCAATGGCTCACCATTCACTTGGCCTTTATTCAACATGAGGATAGACACCTTAGTATTTGAAGTGTACCAAAGCAAAGCAAGGCTAAATCCTAAAATATGTCCAAAATATGCCTAACAGGGTTACTATAATAAACTATGTTTATTAAAAACGATTAAAACCTTTATTATTACGCTAAAACCTTCATTCATCTACTATCGTACATTTTATATGAAATCAGTCAAATTATCCTTCTCAAATAGCAGCAACTACATACTAATACCTTACATTTTGAAAACCACTGTATCCTTTCCACACAACTTTCATACCTCCATTCTGATTCCCTATATCTTCATCACATCCTTGAGGCATAGACTGATAAGATAAAATTACATAGGTTTTGAAAGAGGAATATTTTAATGTTTAGTACAATTTGATTCTATTCTGACAATCTCATAGAATAATTCAAATAGGAAGTTTCCATTAGTCTTGTAAACGTCTGTTCAATAAAGTCAATTGCTCTGTGTGAGACTTTATATTTAATAAATATTAAAACATATTTAAGAGTAAATACTTGATTTTAAAACAAAGTTTTCTAGGATTTAATCTATTAGATTAAAATAATAAAAAATTGAGACACAAAAAGTTGACTACATTCAACTATTAAGAGGAATTTAATCAGAATTGAAACTTGCTAATAGCTGTATGTGAGTGGATATCCTTAAGATGTACTGATACCATAAGATTACAATGAGTTTGTGATTATTTGGCCATTCTCTGCCTTGCTTGTTTGGGAAATTCCAGTTTTAACATAGACATAAACCTAAAGCTTTAAAGACAGACAAGCAAACACCACCGCAAATAAACAGAACAAAACCCTGTGGCATCTCTTAGATATTGTCCTCAACCTTCCAAAGTCAAATCACACAGAGAAACTGAGGTAACAGAAACATTGTTACACATGAGGCAGCCGAAACCCAGAGGACCTGACAGACTTAACTGTCAGAGTCAGGTGTGAAACAGCTCTGCTGATTCTTAGTCACAGCTCTTTCCACAAATATATTGTTTTAATTATGAAATTCCTAGAGCACAAGACTGATCTAGCTGGAGAAATCTTAAAGGAGGCTGTTAATCTTTGCCTCCCCACATTGCAAAGTAGAAGGGTAAATACATGTCCAACGAGATCATTAATCACTCTCATTTATTTCTTTTCTTTTTCTTCTTTTTTTTTTAAATAGAATTATATGAGTAGCAGGAAGAGTAGGTCAAGTGAGGTAACAGGTCTAATTAGGAAGCAGGGTATTGGCAGGGCACATCCCAGGACTGTAGTGGAAATTCCCTAACATTGTAATTTAGTCAGGCAAAGATATCTGGCTGAAACTTATGTAATTTGCGGTATCCAGCTTTTGTTTGCTAACCTGAAAGGACAACAGTGACATAATGTTATTTTCCTCACCTAAGTATCACTTGACTTTTTAAAGCTCCTGTAGACTGGTTAGCTCAGTCTCAAGGGACAAGGAGAGGCAATCCCCTTGATTTATTTTAATTAACCTGGTTCCCTTACCTATTTATAAGTTTACCTATTTATGAAGATATGTGTATATACATATACATATACACTCACATATATTTTTATATTTCTATCTACATTCCATTAAAGGAGAGAAATGTAAACTTATAAAGCAGCATGATAAGTTTCATTTATAATTAATATTTTAACATACTTTTCTTTAATACCTGGACATCTCTTCAAATGATGTCCTTCTAAATTTAAATCAGTGGACCTAATTGTTAATCTGGCAAGGGCATAATAGGTATTCCATTTTTCCTGTGTTTTTGCAATTTGGAGACACATTAGTTTTATTAGTGTATACATTGTGATCATCTTTTTCTCTGGCTCCCATTCCATATGACTCAATCTTCTGATGGTCCTCAAAGAAATTAAGTCAACCAATTACCAAGAGATATGGCAAGAAGTTGCAAACGGGGCTTCTTCACTTTGGCTTTTTACAAGAAGCCATTTGAGGCAGTGGGAAAAGTTAAGTCTGGAATCAGATATAAGATAAAAGACTAATGCTAGCCATAATAATAGTTATAAGGCACTGAAGTCCTTTACATGTAATCCTTATGGCAATTAGATGAGTTAGAATGCATTATGATCTCCATTTCATTAATAATAAAACTGAATCCATCGACGCGAAGTCCCACATTTAGGAAGTGGTGGAGCTGGTATTCAAACCTAAGTCAGCCTGATCCACTTTGATCTTTTAACCACTAAGCTGGCCTGGATTTGCATTCCAGTGTTCTCATTTCAATGGTACCACTTTCACAAATTAGTCATTTCTTTCAGCCTCTGCTTCCTCATTTATCTGAAGGGATGTAATGCTAACTATTCTAAATGGTTGTTTTAAAGATAAAATAAGATAATGCTTGTGGAACCACCAACACAGAGTATGTGTTTGATTTATTTCCTCTTCTTCACAACTCCATCAAAATAGAGAGATTGGTATACAAGACAATTAGCATGTAATACGGTGGTTCTCATTGTTAACTATATGTTAGAAACCCCTGAGGGACTTTTCAAAGGTACTAATGGCTATTTGCAAAAGGAAATGAATGGGATTCCTAGCGTGCTGGTGATATACTATTAATCTGAGTGGTGATTACACAGGTGTGTTCACTTTGTGACAATTCCTTAAACTGCACATGTAAGATGGCTGCATTCTTCTGTATGCATATTCTACTTCAGTTAAAGTGTGTATTATTAATTCAAATGCTAATTCCCATGTTTCACCCCTCAGATATTCTGAATCAATAGCTCTGTGTAGGAGTGCAAACATTCGTTTTGTGTAAACGCTTCTCGGGTGATGTTAATATGCAGTCAGCCTTGGGAACTACTGTTAAAAGTAGAACCAACCCTTAGCAAATAAAAGAATCGAGGAAGGCATGCTTTACAACAAAATATGACATATTTGCCAAATTCAAAATCTAAGTAGGTGTACTATAATTAGACGTGGAGATTGTGAAAGAGTATCATTGTTTCATGTAAAGATTATCCCAAAATACGAATTAAATATCCGCTAAAGATCTATGTGGTTGCTAAAAAAGCAGTGTATTTTTTATACCTTTCTTTTATGACCATTTCTATTAACGTCTATTTTACTAAGCCATCCTACATGTTTTGAACATCTTTATTCAACAAAAGCAATGTAGTTTGAAAAGATTTTTAAAAATGTGAGTTGAGGCTGGGCGCGGTGGCTCACGCCTGTAATCCGAGCACTTTGGGAGGCTGAGACAGGAGGATCATGAGGTCAGGAGATCGAGACCATACTGGCTAACATGGTGAAACCCTGTCTCTACTAAAAATACAAAAAAAAAAAATTAGCTGGGTGTGGTGGCAGGCGCCTGTAGTCCCAGCTACTCGGGAGGCTGAGGCAGGAGAATGGCGTGAACCAGGGAGGCGGAGCTTGCAGTGAGCCGAGATCACGCCACTGCACTCCAGCCTGGGCGACAGAGCGAGACTCCGTCTCAAAAAAAAAAAAAAAAAAAGAACGTGAGTTGAAATGTCTACTCCATCAAAGTACCCTCATTTGCAAGTTTAGTCAAACATTCTTCAGTATCTAATAATAAATAACAAGTAAGATGACCATGTCTGCATTATTTTTTCCCCAACAAAAATAGTCATCTTAATTATCCCTTATTATTGGACATTGTTGTTTTGGACCACACTACTAACATTTGCATCTGTCTTTTCTTACTGAAGCACATACTATACACACACACACACACACACACACACACACACACTCTCTCTCTCTCTCTCTCTCTCTAATACACATACTATCTTAGAAAAATGCTCTATAAAAACATAAACAGATTAATATAAGTTAAGATTAATTTGAAAATATGCTGTATACTTAATTTTTGTAAGCCTTTATCAGTGTCTTTATAATGAAATTTTTAAGCAATATACTTATTTTGCTGGGATTTTTTTCAAAACTGGTAAAAAGAACTGTTGAGATAAAATTTTAGGTATTTATTATGTTCATATAAGGAAACTCTGACTTGCTTTCATAGGCATAGATGTCACTCTCCTTTTCACTTAATTGATTTTCTATCTCCTAATAATTTTTTGTTTATCTAGTATCTGATTAATAACCAAAAACATCTGCACGTCTTCCTAATAGGAGGAATATGCGTAGCACAGATTGAGCTAGCAATGTTTGATGATTATGAGTATATATTTAGTTATCAGAGAGGTAAACCTGATCATTGCTATATTTTTTCAAAAGCATAAATTTCAGGTTTGAATATGCTCACAGAATACACATGCATATAAATTACATTAGTCAATGGGAGAAAGTTGGAAAAGGAATAAGGAAAGAAATCTTTAGTCTTATACTCAATTGGTGAACCTACCAACTCCATCACGTCTCAAGTCAGGTGGGCTTTGGAGGCCGATAGATTTATTATGCTTACAAAGCTGCAGGGAAAACTTTGGATAAGAAAACCTAAAAAGGTAAAAAGCAGCTGAAAGTATTGAAATATAAAGATTATTCAGTATTAAACCATCCGTAGTATTAAAGGTGGGAAGTACAAACAAATCTCACTGAAGCTAGCATACTAATGTGAGATTTATGCTGTTGATAACCATTTGCAATTAAGTATAATGTGCAAATACCATGGGATTATATGTTTCAGTTGTTAGAAATAGGAAAAAAAAAGGATTAGTTTTTGGCACTTCTTAAATTTAATAATAGCTGGTGTGCTGGAAAGAAAAATGAAAAAAAATCCTTTCTCTGGATTAGCAAAGAAAGAGCTAATATCTGTCAGTGAATACCATTATGATTTTTATACATGTCTCTGGTTTGGCTTCATTCATCGATTGCACAGATATTACTTAAATAAGACTTCAAGAGAGAATGCGGATTTTTGAAACTGAGGATTGGTCTCCAATGTTGTGGTTGCCAAGTAGTGGATTAACAAGCTGTCAGTGTGAAATCCATTCGTTTCTTCTTATCATTCAGGAAGCAGACATCCTGTCACTCTCTACCGGCTTCGTAACTTTCACAGGAAGGTAGAGGCATCACAGTGGCGGCTCCAGGTTTTATTTATATGGAACAATATTCTGATCATGATGTTTGACCTTTCCTATCAAATACCTTTGTTATCTTAATCAGTGTGTCATTGCCACATTCATGTGTTTTTGTTTTTATACAATATTATTAATTTGAACCATATGAAACTGCCATTTTGTAGTTCCAAAATGATCACGTATTCACAATGTCACCATTTCATATGGTTCAGCCTACTATTGATTTACTTATGGAAGAGTGAAGGAGCAGGGATAATTTTATAGCAAGTAGCAAAGAAAAGAGGAGAAATGCAAGTACCAAAGCAAAGAGGAGAAGAGTGTGTGTGTGTGTGTGTGTGTGTACTGAGAGTCTAATATGTGTTAGGCACATCTTATGCACCAGATATACAGCAAGAAACCAGATTAAGCCTCTGTTCTCATGGGGGTTACAGGTCTGCAGGGAAAATGGATAATAAAGTAGTGTACGAGAGAATTCCAGATGAGTTCTATGAAAAACATGTTATTCAGGGAAAGAGAACATAAAGAGACTTGGCAGGAGGTGTTGCAGGTAGGAGAGGGACAACTCTTTTAGACAGGGTGGACACAGAAGACCTCCTTCAGGATATGAGAGTTGAACAGAAATTTGAAAACAAAGAGAATATATCTCACAAAGAACTGAGAAAGCCGTGTTCTACAGTAATGGGCTAGCAAGTGTAAAGGCCATGAGGTGGAAAGGCACTGGACTGACTTAAAGAGGAACACGGTGGCCAGAGTGGCTTGAGCAAGTGATGGAAAGGGAGGGTGGTAACAGACAAGGTCATAAAATCAGGTGGGGCCAGATCTGGAGGGGTGGTAGCCTTAGCCAGCCTTGGGATTTTATAGGAAAGTGATGGAAAGTCACTGAAAAGTTTTGAGCAGAGGAGCACAATGATATTTTAAAAAGATTACTCTGGCTTCTATGTGGATAATTTCCTAAAAGGGAAAAAGAACAGAAGCAAGAAGTCCAGCTGCAAAGTCACTGAGATTGTCCTGTGAGAGACAGCTCAGCTTTGACATGGGCCTTAGGAGTGGACGTGCTGAGAAGCAGCAACAGGACCAGCTTCAATGGCATCCGGTGTGTGACCTGCACAGTCCCACAGGGTCCTGCACTCAGAGGGGCCCCCTGGATTAACGCTGTCCTGTTGCCATCTTGGAATTATTCATAAGTTTTGAACTGGGGGCCCTATATTTTCATTTTGCGCTAGACCCCACAAATTATCTCACCAGTCCTAAGAGGAAACGTTGTGTTTCCTCTTTGTTTAGATTTCTGTTCAACTTTCCCCTCCTGAAAGAAGCCTGGTCTGGCCACCCTGCCTAAAAGAGCCAAGGCATTCCGGCATTTAGAGGTAAAGAATAGGAGGAAGGGTCAGGAAATGAGATTGTGAGGAGCAGTCAGTAAAGGTCGAATGCCAACATGAAAAGTGTGTTATGCATGAAACAAAAAATTAAAAAAATTAAAAGGTAATTCATGAAAGGAGGGAAGTGGTCAACTTTGCCAAATGCTGCTGAAAGGTCAGATAAGGTGCAGACTTAGAATTAACCCCTAGATTATTTTTGAATGATAATCAGTTATCATAGCTGTTTATGGGGTAAATGTCCACAGCCTTTTTTTTCACTAAGGTAAAATTTACATAAAGTAAAATACTCTTTCTGGCTTAAAGTTCTGCAAGTTTTCAGAAACATACACAGTTGTATTATCACCACCATAATCATCACATAGAACTTTTATCAGGACTCAAATATCCTGTGGCTTTTTGTAGCCAACACCTTCCCCATAGCTAGCGACAGATCTGTTTTCTGCCTCTGTAGTTTCACAATATGTCCTATAAATGGAATCATTCAGCATGTGGCCATTTGAATCTGACTGTTTTTACTTAGTATAAAGCCTTTGAGACTCATCTTCTTATTACACATATCAGTAATTCCTTTGTATTTACTGATGAGTAGCATTGCAGTGTATAGATGGACCACAATTTGTTTCTTCATTCCGCTACTGATGATTCTTTCAGTTTTGAAAGTGACAAATGAATTCACAATAAATATTCACATAGAAATTTTTGTTTGAACATAGGTTTTCATTTCACTTGAGTAAATACTTAGCTCCTGGGTCATATGATAATTGTATGTTTAATTTTATGAAAAAAAAAAAACCTGAATGTTAAAACTGCTTTTCAAAGTTGTTAAACCATTTTTTATGACTACCAGCAATATAAGTGAATTCTAGTTGCTATATAGGTTTTTTTCTTTTAGTTTTAGCCATCCTAAAAGATGGCATATCATTGTCGTTTTAATTTCCATTTCCCTAATGACTAATGATACTGAGCATCTTTTCATGTACTTATCTTCCAACTCTATTATCTTCTTTGGTGGATTATCCATTCACATCGTTTATCCATTTTTTTCATTGAATTTGTTGTTCCCTTATTAGTGAGATATGAATATTCTGTATGTATTCTGTCCACCAGACTTTTATCAGTTATCTACTTTGCAAATATTTTCTCAGAGTCTGTGGCTTTTCTTTTTATTCTCTTACTAATGTTCTTCAAAGAGCAGAGGTTTCTAAGTTTGATTAAGCCCAAAATATCATTTTTTCTTTCATAAATCCTGCTTCTGCTGTCACAATTAAGAAATCTTTGCTTAACTAACACACGTTTAAAAATTTTTCCTAATGTTCTTCCAGAAATTTTATAGTTTTAGATTTTATACCTATGACCATGGGATTTTGTAAGATAGAAGTCATCGGTGACTTTTTTGAGTATCAATTAATTTGTGGGAACAAAGACCTAGTCAAAATAGATCAAAGAGAAAATAGGAGATAAAAGTATTGAGACTGTCTTTATAGACAATGTTTATAGGACTTCTACTACAAAGACGAGGTGAAAATTAGGGCAATCGCTGGAAAGAAACCCTTACAGGTGGAGTATGATGCTGGTTGCGTGTGGGTAAGCAAAATCGGACACACTGGCCTGTGTTTTTAAAAAGTAGTACAAATTGAGACAAATTGGAGGAGAGAAAATCCAGAGAAATCTCGCTCAGTGGGTTAAAAGCTCCAAGCATAGAAACTGGTTATTTAAAATGAAAATAACAGGGTGTCTAGGGCAAGTAAGGATAAACTTCTATGCTTTTGCCTCAGAGCCAGTAAAATGTTTGGCTTGGAAAAAATGAAAAGAGGTAGGAAAAGAATTTCAAATTGACCTTAAACTCAGAAACTTGTCTGATTGAATCTTTTTCCATGGATTGAGCAAGAGAGAATTAGTAAGTGAGGGGGTGGGGGTATCTATTCCCTGGGCAGAACTTCTATGGGTCTCACATTTCCTAGGATCTCTTTAAACCTCCTTTAAACACACTCTGTTTATAAAGTGACCTCAGTGGTTTTGGTACATTCCCTACAGTCCTGGCATTCTCTCTGCTCAGTATCACAGAAAGTAGGCAGTGAGTCAGAGGCAGAGATTAAACATACATGTATGGAATATCAAGCTGAAAAAAAGATCTTTTCAGGTTGCTCGTTCCTTTAATTATAAAATATTCTACAAGCTTTCAAAGGGAAAACAGAGAGAGCACAGTTAACAAATCAAAGAATGCCATGGTAGTCAAAACTATTATGTAGGGTTTGATTTCTAGGACTAGATTAAATTCTATGAAACAACATTCTGGCTTTCTGAGAGGAGAGTCTGAAGCTTCCCTTCAGAGCCAGTGATATCTTCTGGGAGATAGGCCTACTGTACACGCATAACTCAGTTACTGAGTAATCAAAAAGGAAACCAAGGCATTTATTTTGATATGTTTATAAAATTAGGGACGGGTATTAAGTTTTTGTGGTAGTTTTAATTTTTCCTTTGTTAGCTTGTTTCTACTGTCATAAAACTAGCAGTTTCCAGTTAAAAGTTATGCAACATATGCCAACAAGGGCTAAGATTAATTAAACCTGAAATAATTATTTCTTTAAAATGTCCAATTAAGCATTGCATAGCATATTGTGGAAACTTTTAATGGAAGAAATTATAATTAAAAAATAGTATATATAATTTATATGTCATAATGATTCTTGTGTGTGTCCACATGGCATCAAAGAACCATGAAAGGAATAACGTTACTTCTCAGGCTAGTGCATATGGTCTTGCAATGCCATTTGGTAAATCCTGGTCTTTAAAGTTCCTAATTTTCATTTCACTTATGTTAGAAACAGTGAAAAAGTTAGGGAAAAAAATAGCACTTATGACATTTCAACTGCCAAAAATGTGAAAATTACATTACACCTGATTTATACATACAATTAATAAATAGTCAACGATCCCCAATAAATCAATCAGATCCTTATTACTATATGTAAATAATAAAGGTGGAGTAGTTCTGATCCTCGGAAAAAGAGGAATTTCAAATTTCTTGTTAGCCTCTTCATTTCATAGAATCTTTTTTTTTTTTTCGAGACGGAGTCTCACTCTGTCGCCCAGGCTGGAGTGCAGTGGCGCGATCTTGGCTCACTGCAAGCTCCGCCTCCCAGGTTCACGCCATTCTCCTGCCTCAGCCTCCCAAGTAACTGGGACTACAAGGCGCCCGCCACCACACCCGGCTAATTTTTGTATTTTTAGTAGAGACGGGGTTCCACCATGTTAGCCAGGATGGTTTCGATTTCCTGACCTGGTGATCCTCCTGCCTCGGCCTCCCAAAGTGCTGGGATTACAGGCATGAGCCACCGCGCCCGGCCCATTTTATACACAACAGGACCCAACCCAATTTGAGGACATAGTACCAATCCACTTCTGCCAGTGAAATTATTATCACATTTTCTCTAAATCCAGTTCAAGTCACAATTATAGCTAATAATTTTTACTTTTCTGCGTGCCAGCATGTGCTCACTACGTCGAATGCATTTTATTTTCATTAGTCCCCATAGAGTGGGTAATATTTTATTCATGTTTTACACATGGAGAAGCAGATTCAGAGAAGAAAAATAACTTTCCCAAGCTCAAATATGAATTATGTAAAGCAATCATGCCTTTAACTCCAGTATTCTGGAAGGGGGTATGCTCTTAACCACTAACAACAGATACCTACTTAGTACGAAGAGCTTCATATTTGGGCAAGAAAATTCCTGTTGAGGTGACAGAGAAAGGTATAAGCAAAACTGGAAGAGCATTTAGCAACAATTTTCGTTTCAGGTCTATGTTTTGAGAAGGCCATTCCCAGATATTGTGTGGATGAAGAATACGTAGAGGACCCCGACCTGGACCTACAACTGTGTATGAGTTCATCTTCAAGCTAAAATAGCCCAGATATCTCAGAAAAGACACAGTGTGACTAGATACTCCTAGAATTGCTTGCTCAAACCTACACTATGCATAACTTTTGACTTTCCAGTTATACCAATAAAGCATCATCATTTTTGAAGAAATACCCAGAGTCTTAAAAGACCCCAGATATTGTTGCTGCCGTCTCTGAACTCCAGTGGATAGGGAAAAATGTAGAACAGATTCCCTTATGGGAAGTTTAAATCCTAAGGCAATGTAGCCAAGTCATTCTTATTATTCATGAAATCAACCTGTTTCAGGGAACAAAGCTTTCCAATGCAATTTTCAAATAACACACTCAAACAGGTATGCAAGTAAAAAAGCCGGAAAGAAAAGGAAATTGGACCATGATATGTTGAATGCTTGCTTTGAAGAGATAGTTACAGCAAAATGATCAAGACCACAGGAATTGAGGGGAAGTCTGTGCATTCATTTATAAGTATGATGTTATGTATCATCAGCTACTTTTCACCTAGTATGTATTTAACATCTGTCAATGTTGCCTATACTAAGTCATTTTAATGTTAGTAATAGCTATTATTTTATTACATTTTATTTTATTATTATTTTATGAAAGCATATAGTATTATTCATATATATGACAGATTTTTATGAGAGAGAGAGGTTGAGAGAGAGAGAGAGAGAGAGATTCATGATAGAGAACTTTCGATGTCTGAAGCTTGTGGAGAAGTTATTCCTTGCAATAGACATTCAGATCATTTTCAGTTCCATGGCAGACACAGACCCTTTGTTATTAAACACATCAAAGCTTTGCTTCCAGGAAGGGCAGTCTTCTCAGTTGTTCCCTCTCTGAGTGCGAATTTGAATGCTTTTTTCATGGAAAGTGATTATTGTAAGGTAATAAAGAGGTAGTAAATGTGCTCTCTTTCTCTCTCTCCTTCATGCCATACTTTAAGAAAATAAATCTTTGACAAAAGATTAAATAAGCAATTGTTATCGAGCATATTGTTTTGTGACTCACAGACACATTTGTAATGTTAAATATTTATAGCATTTACACAACAGGACACATTTTCTCATTAGTTTTTTGAGGTTTTTCTTTTTTCTCCCTGAATTCCAAAAGGAGCCTTGACATTAAGCCTCTGCTTTGGAGAAAAACAACTACTCCAAAAATATGCTAACCATCTACCCCCTTGTTTGCATTCTATTCAGTGGCTCACATAAATATGCAAGATCTACAGAGAAAATGCAAAATGAAGTGCTTGACATTCTCTCTGGTGCTTCCAGCATTCCATTTGGGAACAGACCTACGCTGCTAAACCACACTTGCTCCAGACTCCGTTACCATGGACTAATGCAGCCCAAAGAGGATAATATTAGTAAGATAAGAGAAACGGGTCATATGCAATCCTTGGTACAAAACATAGTTGAGATGTGGCATAAAATAGAAATGTTTCTACTTATGCAGAGTGTGTATTGATGAGTTTTACTTTTTTTTTTTTTTGAGATGGAGTCTCACTCACTCTGTCGCCCCAGCTGGAGTGCTGTGGTGCAAGTTCGGCTCACTGCAGCCTCTGCTTCCCGAGTTCAAGCAATTCTCCTGCCTCAGCCTCTGGAGTAGCTGGGACTACAGGCATGTGCCACCATGGCTGGCTAATTTTTGTATTTTTAGTAGAGATGGGGTTTCACCATGTTGGCCAAGCTGGTCTCAAACTCCTGGCCTCAAGCAATCCACCTGCTTCGGCCTCCGAAAGTGCTGAGATTACAGACTTGATGAGTCACTGTGCCTGGCCTGTACTGATGAGTTTTAAGGAAGAGACGAGACTTTCTCTCTGAATCACTTTCCAGATCCATTCTTAGATAAACTTTCTGGGAAAATAGAGAATAGAATTTTATATTTTCAAAAAACCTGCTCCATTTATAAAATCTTGCATTTCCTGTTATTTCTTAAAATTGTCATATACATTTACACATATGCCAATTTTCACATACATATCAAAACACTATTTGTTCATCAGTCCTAATTTGCTAATTGGTTTTCTCACCAATGGAACTGATGCTGTCGATACACTCCTTTTTACCCCTCTCTGTTTGCCCATATTGAGTGTTTCTTCTCACACCTTCTTATTATCATTACTAAAGAACATAAATTATCTCTATATAAACTACATTTTCTAAAACACATCCCAACAAAGAGTAGTTTTATGGAAATTCAATGGATATTCTCAAAATTAGAATTCCATTTCAACTGCGTTTAGAAACATTCTGGGTAAAACAAAATTTAACGTTTCTTTATGTAGGATTTCTCGGAGTCTTTCATGAGCTTATGCATTACAGAGCTCCAAAAAAGAAATCCCAAAAGCATTCTTTTTTTCTTCCTTCAGAAAACCTTTGGCAGGACATTTTAAAGTCCTGGGCCAGCCAGGCAGTGGGCTTGACAGCTCAGCTGGGTACTCCAGAACCAACTTGCAATCTCTGCTCAGGGGTGAGCCAAGAGCCATAGGGTTGTGTCTTCTTCTGCTGCCTGATGATGGTACAGACAATGTAGGGGCCAGGGGAAAACTTCCCTTTCACCCTCTGAAAGATCGCTGAAGATCACTTAAAAAGGCAGATTAATAGGAGAAAGGGCATACAAATTTATTTGATTATACTTTTACATGACAGGGGAACTTTCAGAATGAAAACCTAAAGATACAGGGAAAACTGTCCATGCTTAGGTTCAACAAAGTATGGACAGCCCTATAGAAATATGACTGGGCAAAAGGGTAGAATCTAATGCTAATAGACTGGGGGAACCCAGCGAGGCATGTCTGTCTACATCCTTCTTGGCCTCTCTGTGCAGCATTCCTTACCTCTGGGGTGGGGCAAGACCCTTTCTGGAATGGGGGTCTTATCACCTAAAATCAAACAAGGTAGGTCAGATAATTTCTTTATGGCCAATTTTTACATAGAAAGGCAGGGGATCAAAGATTAGAGTAATATTTGTAGGTTTTGGTCATATTTTTAGGTTAGAATGACATTTTTACATTTTATGGCTGGCTTTGGAAAAAAGAGGTTCTGGTGTCTGTGACCTACCTTATGGAAAAGGGATTCTGTTTTCTATGGCTAACCTCAGGGGAGCAGAAAGGGCCAGAATTATGAGGGCAGGAGAAGGTCAGACAAAACTGCTTCTGAGACCCTCATTTTGGGGCATTGCTTCTTGAGACCTCGTAACAACCGGAAGGGTACATTTGTTTGTTTCCTGTTTCATGATTTTTCTTACTTCCCTCACCTATTTCACAATATTTCAATAGAACAATCTCCAAAAAAATTGTCCATTATCATTCCAGCCACCTATGGAAGTGAGTTAACATTACATATTGTGTAATATTATGAAAGTTAATATAAAGGAATGTCTTAGAATTTGCATGGAAATTTGACATAAATGACTCAGATAAAAATAATGTCACCTAATATGGTTTGGCTGTGTCCCCACCCAAATCTTAGCTTGAATTGTAGCTCCTATAATCCCCACGTGTGATGGGAGGGACGCCATGGGAGGTAATTGAATCATGGGGGCAGGTTTTTCCCATCTTGTAATAGTGAATAAGCTTCATCAGATCTGATGGTTTTATAAAGGGCAGTTCCCCTGCACAAGCTCTCTTGCTGCTGCTATGTAAGACATGCCTTTGCTCCTCCTTCACCTTCCGCCATGATTATGAGGCCTCCCCAGCCATGTGAAACTGTGAGTCTATTAAACCTCTTTTTCTCTATAAATTACCCAGTCTCAGATATTTCTTCAAAGCAGTATGAAAATGGGCTATCACCTCTTAAATAGGGCAGATTCCCAGTTATTTTGAGGGTCACTTTTTTTTAATGTCAGGCCATCTAGGCAAAGTGGGGGAAATAAAAGCACCTCCAAGTTTTGGTTTTGCTGTTTAAACATGGCAGCAAACAGCCAAGCAGGATGCATTTGGAGGGGTTGTAAGAACTCTGTTACATAGCAGATAGATGTTACACTATCCTTTAAAAAATAAAATGTCCCTAATAGAGGCTCATAGATGCATGGTGTTAGTATTTGGCCAATAATGACCAGTAGGCTAAATAGCACAAAGTCTACTGTCAATAGAAACCATTGAAATATTTTTTTAAATAGTGGTCGTTTGTTCAAATATTTATTTTGCTAAATTATGCCAAACAACTGGCTTAATGCATTACTTCATTAAATAGTTTTTTCTTGATCAACATGACTGAGTTCACAGGGTCTTCTATTATCATACTAAAGAACAAACAGAAAGCTAATAATGCCTTCGGATACCGAACAGTTTGCACATTCATTAGGTAGGTTCCTGTTTATAGTGCCCCTGTGAAGGCCTTGTATTTTATTACAACTGCTGATCTACTTGGGGAACATAGTGAAGCATGGGCTCTCTGGTAGGAGAGTTAAAGACTCAAGAAATTCAAATGCATATTGTCAGCTGTCAGACACTAATGACTTTACTGAGCTCAGTTGAAAGTTAGCTGATCAGAGTAAAAATGCCCTCTTTAAATTTGCTAACATATTTGGAGGGACTGTTTGCTAACATATCTGGTGTACAGAATTAGATGAATCATCATTCTTCATTTATGGCAGGTTTTGTTAATCTCATACATGGTACTATTTGGTTCCTTGATTCTTTGCCTTAAAAGCATATTAAAAACCTGTGAATCCACTACTCTACACAGAAACAGAAACATTGGAGATTACTTATATGTGTTTATGGAGCACATATTGCCTTCTCTTTTTTTTTTTTTTTTTTTTTTGGAGATGTTGTCTCGCTCTGCAGTGGCGCGATCTCGGCTCACTGCAAGCTCCGCCCTACCGAGTTCATGCCATTCTTCTGCCTCAGCCTCCCGAGTAGCTGGGACTCCAGGTGCCTGCCACCATGCCCGGCTAATTTTTTTGTATTTTTAGTAGAGATGGGGTTTCACCGTATTAGCCAGGACGGTCTCAATCTCCTGACCTCGTGATCCGCCCGCCTCAGCCTCACAAAGTGCTGGGATTACAGGCGTGAGCCACTGTGCCTGGACTATTGCCTTCTCTTTTTAAAAAATATCTTGACGTGTCTTTGTACAACCACCTGAGAAGATCATTCTGGGTTTATATATTTAGTAGTGTCCATTTGCAGGCAGTAATAATCTCACCTGACATCTAGAGAGTACTACAGTTTGCAAACCACTTGCATAAAGAATTCACTCTCACAATTTTCCACCAATTCTCTAAGAATGATGAATGCCACTGGAGGGATTAAGGGTGTCAAAACCAGAATTTTGCTGGTGTTCCTATGTGTTTACCATGACATGGAACCAAAGATACTGCTGCACTGCACTGAAATCAGCTGGGCTCATACCGCTCTGGAACAGAATCATAGGGATTAAGGCAGAGCTCTTTTCCTTCTTCCATTAAGTTGATCTCTACAGTAGATGATAGGACATCTATTTTGACTTTTGTCTGTTGAGACTTGAAAAAACTATGTGCTAAATCAAAGGTAATTTTGGCCATCATTTCTTCTTCTGTACTGAAATCATTGTGTAATTCTGGAAAGACTTGTACAGGAGCCCAAAACCTGTTGGCAGTGAGCTCATGTTTTCAAAGTAAAAACAAATGCTTATCCCTGCTTCCTCTGCAGCTGTCTCTTCTGGGATTGTGTTGTTCTACCGCCTTGATTATAGGCTTTAAAAAAAATCCAGAGAAATAGTCTAGTTGGGGAGTAACCTTGCGGGATCTAACTTCTCAAATTCAGTTTTATCGCTTTCTCTTGTATATATTATTCTGTATGCAGATATTTTGCAGGTCCAATAAAACCACAAGCATTTGGCCTGGTAGAAATAAGAAGAGGTGTGTTTGAATTGAGGAAATAAAAAATGGATTCCAAAGTATTTTTAACCTCAGTTTTATCATGTTCCAGTCCCCAGAAATAGAACCAGTCTAACAAAATGTTGCTTAGTAGTTGTCTTTAAGTGGCTTTTCTTAGTTAATAGCTAATAATGATTTGTAATTAGCGAATAATTTGAATGTAAATAGATTCTTCTACACTGCCTACGAATGCTTGAAAACAATTTGTTCTCTTAAATAGCCTACAAATTACCCAGGCAGTCTTGATGATACTGTTGATTTGTTTGGTAAAAAAAAAAAAAAAAAAAAAAAAAAAAATTCTGTATATGAAGTAAAAAGGGAACTTTAGCTCTACCTGAATTCCCTACTCGAATTGTGACGTATTTTGTAGCAATGGACTCCAAGTTTATGTCGTATTAAAATTACTGGCACTGTTTGACAGTCAATACAGGAAAAAAAAAAAAAATATGTCCTGGAAGAGAATTGAGAAAGTGCCTTAAAGAGTAACTGGATGCCTCCGAAAAATTCTTAAGCCTAGTAGGTTTGCCAATATTCCTTACAATTTCCTGTGACAGTGTCCTCAGAATGAAGGTGAAGAAACCTGAGAAACAGAAATGCCTTAGGAAATGATGAATCTGGATGAGAAAAAGGAGAGAAGGGTCTGGATGGGATCTTTGCCATAGTGAAAGAAGGTAGTAACAGTGGAAATGGGCAAAGGTGGGGCAAGTGATAGAAAAATTTTAGAAAGCAGATGGGTGGAATTTGGTGAGACATTTTGTGTGTAATTTGAAGAAGGATGAAAGATAATTCCATAATTTGGGACTGATTCCATCATTTGTTAAATATTTGCTAACCATCACAAAAGCGAACCAGAGGGAAAATAAAGATTGTTCGGCCTTGAATTTCTCACACCCTTGGCAAAAGAGCTCAGCACAGTTGTTAGCAACAAAGGGCTAATTTTGTTAATTTTGTAGACAGAATTTGATACACTCATACACTAATATTATAACTTGAATATGAATAAAGATCTAACTTTTGATATTCATCCCACAAGAATGAGAAATGAACTCACAGACTGACATTTCTAATGTGAGGTGGACTTTCTACTTGGTTCATTATAGAGAGACTGAGGGCCACTTAATCATGGCAGGATCCATGGGCAGTGTCAGGCTGGAAAATCTTCAGCTTCTACCAATGCCGTCATGTTTATATACGTTTTTGCTTCAGCCTGAATGACTGTGTTAAGTAAAATTGATAGGAGGCCATTGGTTTGAGCAAAGCTCTTGCACTAGGCCAAATAGACCAAACCAAAATGGGGTTACTCGTGCTGAAGTTCCCTGCCACCAAGGCAAAACTAAGTTGTTTATCTGACCTTCCAAAAAATCAGAAGAGATAATAGATACAACCTCAAATAGGCCTGTTCCAGCTGGCATGATAAGGAAGTATCCTGTCTGTTAACCTTTACAAGGAAATTAATTTTGAAATGACCAATCCGCTTTTGTTCTGTTTCTGCTTTCCTCAGCTCTTTTCTGTCACTATAAAGTCAAGCCTCTCTGTTAAGGTCATCAGAACATTCATGCTATTTTATGGAATGAGCTATTGACAAGTTCTAGAATCACAAATAAAATCCAATTAAAATCTTTAAATTTATTGTAATTTTGTCTTTTGACATCTGAAATGCATTTTCATTTGCAGGGTCTCAGAAAATGTTACTGCAAAATGAAGTCCTCAGAAGCAGCTCTCTCTCTGACCTTCTCCAAACCTCCTGTCTCTGGACCTTCATTTCCACCCATCTCCTCCTCCCCACCACCGCCAGGCTGGCCATGCGTACTAGACTCCCTCTTCCTCAAGGCAGGTCATGGAAACCAGAATCCCTTTCCCCAAAGCCAGCCACAAAGCATCAAATATTGTTTCTACTTCCCCCAGCTCCCCTCCAGCCTTTCTGTGTAAACCGTATAGAAATTATCTGACCTACCTGGTTTAAGTGTAGGTCATAACACTCCCATTCCAGAGAAGGTCCTGCCCCATGCCCAGATGGAACGATGGAGTACTGCACAGAGTCCAGGAAGGATCTAAACAGGCCTTGCTGGGCTTCCTCACAGTCTATTAGCATTACATCATACCCTTTTTGTCTAATTATATTTCTACAGGGCTGTCCATACTTTGTTGAACCTAAGTATAAAAATGGACAATTTCCCCCTCTACCTTTGGGTCTTCATTCTGAAGTCTCCTGTGTCACATAAAACAAGATCAAATAAGTGTGTATGCCTTTTCTCCTGTTAATCTGCCTTTCTTCAGTGATTTTCACCAAACCTTCAGAGATTGAAGGAAAAGTTTTCCCCTGACCCCACACTCCTGCTACCCTGTATTCCTGGTGGGTTTCTACTCAACATTCTAGACCCAGTACCAGTACTATTACGATTTTATCTCTGCAAGTTTCCCTACCACCTAACATAATTGAATGTCCGCTCATCACCTTCTCCCTGGCACTTGCTATACCTCAGACGTAACATTTATCACATGTGTATTACTATATTTGGTTTTAAGTTTTTTGAATAAGTAATACCTTTATGTGATTTACATGTTTAAGTTGCCATCTCCTTCTTTTTTTTTTAATTATTATTTTTTATTATGCTTTAAGTTCTGGGATACATGTGCAGAATGTGCAGGTTTGTTACATAGGTATACATGTGCCATGGAGGTTTGCTGTACCCATCAACCCATCATCTACATTAAGTATTTCTCCCAATGCTATCCCTCCCCTAGTCTCCCACCCCCAACAGACTCTTGGTGTGTGATATTCTCCTCCCTGTGTCCATGTGTTCTCATTGTTCACCTCCCACTTATGAGTGAGAACATGCGGTGTTTGGTTTTCTGTTCCTGTGTTAGTTTGCTGAGAATGATGGCTTCCAGCTTCATCCATGTCCCTGCAAAGGGCATGAGCTCATCCTTTTTTTATGGCTGTGTAGTATTCCATGGTGTATATGTGCCACATTTTCTTTTTTTTAAATTTTATTTTATTTTTATTATTATACTTTACGTTTTAGGGTACATGTGCACAATGTGCAGGTTAGTTACATATGTATACATGTGCCATGCTGGTGTGCTGCACCCATTAACTCGTCATTTAGCATTAGGTATATCTCCTAATGCTATCCCTCCCCCCTCCCCACACCCAACAACAGTCCCCAGAGTGTGATATCCCCCTTCCTGTGTCCATATGTTCTCATTGTTCGATTCCCACCTATGAGTGAGAATATGCGGTGTTTGGTTTTTTGTTCTTGCAATAGTTTACTGAGAATGATGATTTCCAATTTCATCCATGTCCCTACAAAGGACATGAACTCATCATTTTTTATGGCTGCATAGTATTCCATGGTGTATATGTGCCACATTTTCTTAATCCAGTCTATCATTGTTGGACATTTGGGTTGGTTCCAAGTCTTTGCTATTGTGAATAGAGCCGCAATAAACATACGTGTGCATGTGTCTTTATAGCAGCATGATTTATAGTCCTTTGGGTATATACCCAGTAATGGGATGGCTGGGTCAAATGGTATTTCTAGTTCTAGATCCGTGAGGAATCGAAGTGGCCATCTCCTTCTAATCCTTATTTAACAACTGAGCAGATCCTACTTTGCTGTTCCTGTTCTCAAGTAGCCATGGTAATTATTTTTTGTGTCCTTCCAACATTTCTTTCTGAACAGATAAGCAAATTCAAATATACTCTTATTTTTCCTCCTTTCCTGCCACCCACCACAATATACCATACTGTATCCACTGTTCCTTGCCTCTTCACTTTATATTCCCAGAAGGTATTTCCATGTCAGTCTATAGGAAGAGCTTTCTTATTTTTATTTTCAGCTCTGTTCTATTATATGGAATGTACCATAGAGTATTTAACTTGTCCACTATGGATGAATTCATTTGTCTATTATTAAGTTATTTCCAATATTTGGTATGAGAAACAGTGCTACAAACATTGTTTGGTATATGTAATTTCACACGTATGAAATGTATGTTTTTATATATATATATGATTAACATTGATAGATATTGCCAAATTGTCCTCCAGCAGATTTCTAAGACTTTGTACTCCTACCAGAAACATATGGGAATCCCTGATTCCATGGCCTTGTCAACAGAATATGTTATTTAACTTTTGCACTTTTGCTAATTTTGTATGTTAAAATTGGCATCTCTTATTCACATTTCTTTTATTGTAAATAAGGTTAAACATCTAGCATCTTTTTCATGAACTCTCTGTGCACATTTATCCAATTTTCTATTTGATTTATCCAGTTTTCTATTTGATTATCGGGTTTTTTCCCTCCAATTTCTAGGAGGTTTTCATATATTAGGAAGAATTATTGAATTTTGTCTGCTGTGTCAGCTGCAATTATTGTTACTAGTTTGTCTAGTATTTGTTTGTCTAGTACTAGTTTGTCACTGATGAATTTTGTAGTTGTTTAATTTCATCTAGAAGTTTTTTATTTTAATATTCAAATATGCAAATTTATCAATTTTTTCCTTTATGATTTCTTTATGTGGATTTTGAATCATAGTTTGAAAGATCTTTTTCATTCTAAGCTCGTAACAAATTAGTCCTTGTTTTTTCTAGTGATTGTATTGTTTCATGTTTTCTTTTAAACATTTGATTCCTTGGAAACATATCAAAGTTTAGTAAGTAAGAGTTATGAATCTGGATCACTAATATTTTATTAGCCTATCTCTTCCCTGAAGATTTGAAATCTTCTCTGCATTTTATGTAGTATTGAGCCAGATGCATCGGTGTTGTTTCTGGGTTTTCTGTTTCATTGATAGGTCTATCTAGGCATCACTACCACACTGCTTTAATTGTTAACGCTCTGTGTTATGTTTTAATATCTGATAAGCTTGGCCTCCGCCTTTCACTATTTCTTTTCTTTTTCTGCGAGTCCCTGAAACTCCAAAACTTTGAATCAGTTTTCTAGTTCCAAAAAGAAAATCCTAATATTGTTTCACTGGAATCACATTAATTTTATAAATAAACTCATGGAGACCTGATATATCTCTACAATGTTGCATCTCTCAAGGGAAGGACAAGGTGTGTCTTTACATGTTTTTAAAGTCTGTTTGGTGTTTCTCATCTAGGAGTTTATTCTGTATATTCCTAATAATCTTATCTATTTTTTTTTTTTTTTTTTTTTGAGGCAGAGTTTCACTCTTATTGCCTGGGCTGGAGTGCAATGCAGTGATCTTGGCTCACTGCAACCTCCCCACCCAGGTTCAGTTGAAGAAATCTTATCTTTTTATTGTAATTATAAATGGCATTTCTTTTTCATTACAACAGTTAACCTAAATGCCAACTGTGTATACGTGAACTACTGATGTATTCTGATTTTGTATCCAAACTTATTACTTCTATTCACATAGCTTTTCTTTTTTTTTTTCTTTTTCTTTTTTTCTTTTTTTTTTTTTTGAGACTGAGTCTCTCTCTATTGCTCAGGCTGGAGTGCAGTGGCACAATCTCGGCTCACTGCAACCCCCACCTCCCAGGCTCAAGCCATTCTCCTGCCTCAGCCTCCTGAGTTGCTGGGATTACAGGCGTGCACCACCATGCCCAGCTAATTTTTGTATTTTTAGTCAAGAAGGGGTTTCACCATGTTGGCCAGGCTGGTCTCGAACTCCTGACCTCAAGTGATCCACCCACCTTGGCCTCCCAAAGTGCTGGGATTACAGGCGTGAGCCACTGCACCCGGCCTACATACAGCTTTATTTTCATGATCGTTTCAAATAGCTGGGAGAGTAGTATCACCAGAACAATGTTGAGTATTACTGATGCTGGTCATCAGCCTTGTTCCTGACTCTAACATGAATGTGTCTAAAGTTTTCCATCAAGCATAAGAGTGGCTTTGAATGCTGAAATGAAAGTGTAATGTGTCATGTTAAAAAAAGATGGATTGTTTTGAAATAAAAAATTGTTTAAATTTATCAAATTCTGTTTTAGCATATACAGAGATATTCACAATTTTTTTCTTAGCTTTATTAATATACTAAAAAAAAGTTTTGGAACCTTTACTTCATTTTCTTACTTCCTGGATCAGTTTAAATGGTGCTGGAATAATCTCTTCTGAAAAGTTTTGGTAGAATTCAAAATGAAATCATTCTGGCCTGGGATATTTGAGAAGCTAGCTTCTTTATGTTTCTTTTGTTTGTTTGTTTGTTTGTTTGTTTGTTTGAGACAGTATCTTGCTCTGTCACCCAGGCTGGAGTGCAGTGGTGCAATCTCGGCTCACTGCAACCTCCGCCTCCCAGGTTCAAGCAATTCTCTGGCCTCAGCCTGCAGCGTAGCTGGGATTACAGGTGCCCGCCACCATGCCCAGCTAATTTGTATTTTTAGTGGGGACAGGGTTTCACTATGTTGATCAGGATGGTGTCGAACTACTGACCTCAAGTGATCTGCCCGCCTCAGCCTCCCAAAGTGCTAAGATTACAGGGGTGAGCCACCGTGCCAGGCCTTCTATAAAAATCTATGGAAATTTCTGTTTATAATTCCTAAGACCTGTGTCCATTTTAATAAGATGTTCACATATTTGTAAACCATTGAAAAAAAGTAACCGATGATTGTTTTCTAAAATATCTTGAGATTTAATGGTTATTTCTTTTTTTTTTTTTTTTTTTTGAGATGGAGTCCCGCTTTGTCGCCCAGGCTGGAGTGGCAGTGGCACGATCTCGGCTCACTGCAACCTCTGCCTCCTGGGTTCAAGCGATTCTTCTGTCTCAGCCTTCCAAGTAGCTGGGACTACAGGCAAGCGCCACCATGCCTGGCTAATTTTTGTGTTTTTAGTAGAGACGGGGTTTCACCATATTGGCCAGGCTGGTCTCGAACTCCTAACCTTGTGATCCGCCCACCTCGGCCTCCCAAAGTGCTGGGATTACAGGCGTGAGTCACTGCGCCCAGAAATTTCATGGTTATTTCTACATAAAAATTTATACTGGGTTGGTTGGCACGTTTTTCCACTTCTCTCCTGCCCCCTACCTCATCACTATCTCATTATTCCTTAATTAGATTAGTTGATGTTACATACATTTTTCAAAAAAAACTATGATTAACTTTTTAAGCCTATGAATTTTTTTGGTTTTCTAACTTATTTGTATCCGCTTTATCTGATTATTTCTTCCTTTTGTCTCCTTTTATTGTTGCATTTATTGTTTCATTTGGATTATTTAGTATTTTCTCTGAATTTTTGATTTAGTTTTTAATTTATAATTTCAGTTGAGGTATTTAATGCTATACATTTTCCTTTGAGTGTGGTCTCTGGCTATATGCCATAGCTTCTTATAGGTACTGTCTGCTTTATTAGTATTTCCTCGGTATTCTGCATATCCAGCTCCAATTTCCTCTTTTATCCAAGAGTCGTTTAAAGGAGAATGTTTACATTTTTCCATGAACAGTTAAATTTTTAGATGTTTGTTATTAATTTCTAGTTTTATTGCATTATGATTAGAAAATGTTGTTATGGACTGTAAATATGTGTCCTCCCAAACTTTCTATGTTGAAGCTCTAATCTCCAACGTGATAGTATTTGGAGGTGGAGGCTTTGGAAAATAATTAGGTTTATTTGAGGTCTGGAATGTGGGGTCTTCATGATGGGATTAGTGTCCTTATAAGAAGCTACCAGAGAGTTAGCATGTGCTCTCTCTCTTCCTTCCTCTCTCCCTCTCTCTGTCTCACTCTGCCATTTGAGGACACAGCAAGAGGATGGCCATCTGCAAACTAGAAAGAGAGTTCTCACCAGGAACTGAATCAGCAGGCGTCTTGATCTTGGACTTCTCAACCTCCACAACTTTAAGAAATAAATGGCTGCTGTTTAAACCTCCCGGCCTATGGTCCTGTGGTACAGCAGCCTAAGCTGACTAACAGAGTTGTTTTCTGTACTTTTTGAAATGTATTAAGGTTTTCCATATGGCATGACGTATGATAAATTTTTATAATGATACCATGGAAAACTGAATATATATTATCTATTTCAGAGTGCAGAATTTAATATGTAAATCATAGCAACTTTATTATTCACATTATGTAAACCTTCTATATCAATATTTGTCTACTCGATCTGACATATGTTAAAGGAAGTGAATTTCAATGTCTGACTCCCTCTGTGTTTCTGTCTCTTTTTCCTTGTCTTTCTTGTTTTCTACTTTATGACCTTAGCTACTATACTATTCTTATTAATTCTAAGAATCTAGTTGTATATTCTTTCTTTTTCTTTTTAATAGTCAAATAACCAGTAGATATTAAAGGTTGTTTTCTTTCCTTCTGGTACTTATAATTTGTTTTATTTGTCTTTCACTGGCTATACCCAGAAAAAAGAGGTGACATGGGCTTGTAGCATTTTTCATGACTATAAAGGAAATGTCTACCACTCCCCATTATTAAGAATCATGACCAAGTGCAGTAGCTCACTCACTCCTATAATCCTAGTGCTTTGGGAGGCTGGGCTGAGAAGACTGTATGAGGCCAGGAGTTCGAAGCTGGAGTGAGCTATGATCACTCCACTGCACTCCAGCCTAGGTGTCAGAGCAAGACCCTGTCTCAAAAAAAAAAAAAAAAAGCATCATGTTTACTATGGTTGTTGGCAGATGTCGTCTATCAGATTAAATAACATTTTTTGTTTCTTAGTTTGATAAAAGGGTTTTTTTAAGCAAAAATGGATATTAACTTTTATTAATTTTTTCTGCTTTTATTGATCTACTTGTACGTTTTTCTTTTTAAATAGGTTGCATTCTGTATTTTCTTTTCCCTGAACTTTTCTCATCCTTCTCCCCACCTCCCACAAACAATTTTTGATTGATTGAATTGCTTTGTTTCCTGTTCCATTTCTTTCTTTATGAATTTCTATTTTGTATTTTGTTCCTTATTTTTCTAGAAAAGATCCTTAATATATGCTTTATAAAAGGATATGTGAGAAGTCATTGCATATCCAAAAATGCCTTTACTATCACATTTTACCAATATTTTGGCTGGGTATAAAATTTTAACTTGAAAATAATTTTCCTTCAGTGCATTAAGGTGCCACCCTCACCTATCCTCCACTTCCTGTGCCACCTGCCATGCTGATGATAAGATTTCTTTTGCTAGCTTTGTGCTCATTCCTTTGTAGCTGCATTTTTTTTTTCTTTTAAATCTGGAAACATTTTAGAGATGTTAATTTTGAGTACTATCATTTTCTCTGTGCTTTTTATGCTTTGATATTATTATTTAATGCATAAATTTTTGTGAGCTCTTTCAAATTAAATTTGTATTTTCAGAGGTCTGTTCTCATTCTTTCTTGATCATCCCAGATAGCTTTCTATGCTCCCAGGTTCTCAAATACTGTCTATACCTTGATGATACCTGCAATGGAGTGATTGTTAATATCCCCTCAAAATTTCTATGTTGAAATCGTAGCCTCCAAAGTGACGATATTAAGAGATGGGTCCTTTGGAATGTGTTTGGGTCATAAGAGCAAAGCCCTTGTGAATGGGATTAGTCCTCTTAAAAACAGACCCCAGAGATGTCCCTCATCCATTATGCCATGAGAGAGCACAGCAAAAGAGACAGCCACCTATCAGTCAGAAAATGGGCCCTCATTAGACATTGAATCTGCTGGTACATTGGTCTTTGACTTCCCAGCCTCTACAACTGTGAGAGTTAAATTTCTGTTGTTTATAAGCCTCCCACTCTATGGTATTTTGTTGTAGAAGCCTGAATGAATAAGCTAAGACAATACTTTTGGGGGGACTTTCCCCTGAATTCAAAACTCATGTTTTAACAACCTATTCAAAATAGTAGTAAGTACAGTAGTAACATTAATTGAAAATGGAGTATAGGGCAACCAATCTGTTTTGCAAGTGTTTTATAGGAATTCTATCATTTAATCTTCCCAACATCCCCATTGTTATCTCTGTTTTATACATAAGGTACTGTAACGCCCAGAGAGATTAAGTAATTTGCCTCTGGTCAGAGGTGATAATTGACAGAGTGAGATCTCAATCCACGTCTGATTTCACAACCATGTTCTTTATCACTGTGCTACGCTGTCTGCCTCCTTATCTTCACTTACTTAACCTACAACCTTCTTATATTTGTCAGGTCTCAAATATGACCATCTTCTTTGCCCCCAAATAATGCCCCTCTTAAGTTGCCTCTTTCTATCCAAGTTAATTAATACGCTCTAAAGTTATTCCATCTGGATTTGCATCCTGGCTCCACCATTTGCAAATTATGTGTTTCTGGGAAAGTTACCTAACTGGAGCATGCACCTCATTTTTTTCATCTGTAAAGTGAAAATAATAATGTTATCCCTCATTCATGGAGTTTTTGAAGATGAAATGCAAGGATACATATAGAGCGACTGGATGCAAAATAAATGCTCAAGAATACTATCATCCATTTGATTGTCCTTCTCTGTTCTGTTACTGTGCATATCAAATTAATCCAGGATGCATAATAATATGACATCCTAAATAACTTTCAAAACCAAACTTTGCCTAATCCCTCTACCCATTCTATAGTGAGGACACATTATGTCCTTCCAGTGGTTCTTAAGAGTCTTCTCATGGTTACCTTTGCTTCTATTCACGTTCCCTTCACTCCATTCTCTATAAGCAGCAAAAATAGTCTTAAGAAAATACAAATCTTATCACATAGCTCTCATGCTTAGACCCTTTAATGTATTCTTAATTTCCTTTAAGATAATGTCAAAGATGCTCAGTGTGGCTAACAAAGTCCTGAATGGTCTGAATCCTGCCTCCCGCTCCAATATCATTCCCCACTTTTCCTGTTTTTCTCCTGTTTACCTCATACTTACAATTCTTCACTTTTCTCAAGCATATTCTTATAGCATATCCATTTTTAGTCCTACACTTTGGGCATACTATCCTCTCTCTTGGCAGTAGTTTTTCTCCCCATTGTTGCCCTTTCTACCAGATTTGAAGTCAAAAGTCATTTTCTGCAGTATGATTCTCCGGAAAACTGACATCTAAATTGGATATCTCCTCAACTTTTTCCACAACACTGTGGACCTCTCTTACAATAACGTGTACTCACTGTTTTAAAATTACTCATTGACTTGTCTGCATTTCTCCAATGGATTATAATTTCAGTGAGAGAAGAGGCCATGCCTGTCTGGCATTCCAGTCTCAAACACCACTATAGAAGGGTAAGGAGAACACAAAGAACAGTTCTTGAATGAATGAAAGAAAGATAAGTCTTGCAAAAGTAGATAAATGCTCTGTTTTTGATATAGGTGACGATGAATGTGGGTCTCTTTTTCTAAAGGAACCTAGAATCTGCTTGGGAGGTAAACATATGATATAGTGATTTCTCATTATATCCTAGGCACTACTCTAAGATCTATAGACACATTATCACATTTTATTCATATAAAATTCCTGTAAGATAGGTACTATTATTAATCCCATTTTAAACATGAGGAAACTGAGAACAGACAATTTCAGTAATGTACACAGTCAACCAGAGCAAGCTGCAGAGCTAGGATCTGTACTAGGTGAATTAAAGCTTGAACTTACAGTCTTAACAGTGCACTAAATAAGACGAGTGATCACATCTACCATTACAATATCAAAAAATAGGATATTAAACATTCTTTAGAGGCCAGAACTGTGTCTTATTCATTTCATATTTGTTCACTTCGCAAATTCTTTAACCTCTCTCAACCTCATGGCTCTGAGGTAACACCAAAATGAATAAAAGCTTTTGGGCCCTTAACTCCAGCTGTAGTCCATATTTTACTATTCTGTGCTTCCTTAGAACCCTTTGCCAAGGTCCTTTATATACTTGGCTCCAGATCATCTTTCCTGATTTAAACTTACTTGCATTTGTCCTCATTGGCTATTGAAAAATTGTCAACAGAATAAGTCCTCCAGAAATTGTTAAACCCTTTCATTCCTATCCGTGTAGATACTTGATTTAGGAGAGAGACTTGCCCAGTAACCACTACAGTGCTTGGTTCAAATTCAAGAGACCATGAATTAGTATATGCTGAGTTGAAATATGAAAGATCCAAAAGAAAAGAGAGAAGAAACATGCTATTATAATTATTAGTACTAAAGTTTTTCATTAGTATAATCTTCTAGACTAAAATATACCTATGCAATATGACTTGATATTAACAAAAGCATAATGCATAAAAGATGAATCTTCAGAGATGTTAAACAATAATAAATTTAAATATTTGATATAAGCTAAAAACAGGTACATGACTTTTTTGAGAGTATCTGGACTTCTTTCATTATTCTTTCATTCTTTTCTGTTACAATCTTTGCACTTCCATTTCCTCTGGATTTTCTGATTTCTCCCATATACGATTTGGCAGGTTATTTTCTTGCATTTCATTTTGACGTATGATTGATTTGTAAATTCAAGGGCAAGTAAAGAAGTTTGCATCTTTACCAACTTCCAGACTTTTGAATTTTGGTTTTATATACTGTAGTTAATTGCCGCCTTGTGTCAAATGGTTTTTTCACATCTATTGGCATTAATTTTTTAAAACATTTATATTTAACAAGGTAGACTTCACAAGTTAAGTGGATGCCAATTAACCCAAAATCTGAACTGACTTTTCAATGCAAGTCATTCCTATCAAATTAGCATTCTCTACAGATTGAGTAGATAGCTGTCAACACAATGGAGCCTAAGCATCAATTTTAAGCAATTTATTTTTTAAGTTTATAATATTAGTTTGATTGTGATTATATATCCCAAAGTTATATAATTTTGTGTCAGTTACTAAGGAACTAGCTGAATTTTGTATATTATTACATTTTAATCACCTTTATAATTAACATTTAATTTGTATCCTTTTCTCTTTGCTTTTCCATGTACAGAATGTATTTCTTTGAGTTTGTCACACAGAATTTAAGCAATTTTTCTGCCAATTAAATGACATTTTATTTTTCTAGGTGAATTGACTGCTGGGGAAATGGGCTCAGGAGATTAAAGGCCTGCTTATTAATGGAAAGAGCTTCCTCCCACACACAGATATATAAAGCCGCCTCGCCATTTCTTCCTTCCACCGTGACCCATAGTCTTTCTGGGACAAGGGCTGAGATTTCACAGCCGAGTTTTAAAGTTGCTGGGGATGCTAACAACAGGGACTTTTATGCTTGAATTTCTGCTGCAAATCATACACCCTTGGACTCAGTCCACTAAGTCTATAGAATTATCTGCAAAGCAATGCAATAGGATATACAAATTTTTTGACTATTTGTATCGAAAATAAATCAGGACCTTGAACTATATAAAAAGCTAACACATTATCATGAAAACTCTGCATGAATACTGATAAAACATACTGGATGCCCTTTGACTCTTACAGTCCTTGTTCTCATCTTTTTGCTTATATCCATTTCTCTTTTCAATTAATTTGGAATAATTTTGCTTGAATAATAATCTGATAGTAACTTCATTATTTCTAATTATATTATCTTAATGTGCAAATTCAATCATTTTTGGCTTACATTAACAAAGATAAAAATGTGTGACAGAGGTTAGTAATAGAAGGTTAGTTTTACATGAAATGAGGACCAGATAAAAGACCAGTACAATGTTATATATTTATGTCCTTCACATGATAGGCAGACATCAATCCTTGATGTCATGTTCAAATAAAGGACTTATATATATGCATAGTGACAAAGCACTATGCATATGTATATGCATGGGAACAATGGAGAGAAGTTCAGTGAGAGAATTCCCAATTGTATTAATTACTACAAACATTTATTGAATAAAATGTGCAGCACTTATAGAACATTTTTCCTATGGGATAAGTTGCCAATCCATACTTCATTGTTGTTGCTGTATCAGCTCAGACTCTTTGAAGTTAGTCTTATTTATTCACTTTTTTAGCGGATCTACAGGGGTTATGTAAGTTGGCTAAACTCACTCAACTAGTAAGACATATACAAAGGATGTAAACTACGTTTATGAGGTAAGAAAGACTATGATTTTGCTTTTATTACTGCGACTAGGACCCTCTGGGGATACAAAAGCTATGATAAAAAAAATTCATTAGCCTGTGTGTCTAATATGGCCCTCAAAGTAGTATTATCATTTGCAATTAACTATAACACTGAATCGTATTCTTCAAATGCAAACCATGGGCCTTGCAGAGCCTTTATAGATGCTCTGTGGCACAGCACTTATTTAGTCTGTCTCTTTAATTAACCTGATCCAAATGTGACATTAATAAATTGTTCTTTGTGAACCGAAAAGTCGTAATTACTCAGAAAGGACATGCTTAATTGTCCTTTATCTTTAGCCTACCACTATACACATCCAACAAATCAGGTCAAAATTCTCAATTCAATTTCCAAATAATTCATAATATTTTTATTTACTATAGCATAACCTGGTCAGGCATGGTGGCTCAGGCCTGTAATCCCAGCACTTTGGGAGGCCAAGGTGGGTGGATCACTTGAAGTCAGGAATTCAAGACCAGCCTGGCCAACGTGGTGAAGCCCCATCTCTACTAAAACTACCAAAATTAGCTGGGCATGGTGGCGGGCCCCTGTAATTCCAGCTACTCGGGAGGCTGAGGCAGGAGAATCATGTGCACCCAGGAGGTGGAGGTTGCAGTGAATTGAGATTGCGCCACTGCACTCCAGCCTGGGTAACAAGTGAGACTTCATCTTAAAAAATAAAAATAAAAATAAATAAAAAATAAACAAATATAGCACAACCCAACTCTTCAACACAAGACATACACAATCAGGTAATAATTCTCAGTTCAGCTCCAAAAGAAAAAACTCATAATGTTTTTATTTAACATAGCATAACCTGACTCTTCAAAACAAGACATATATTTTATATATGTGTATAAACATATATGCAATATTAGTCTATTTGACTAATATGTATATATACGTATATATATATGTGTGTGTGAACATATATGTAATATTAGTCTAATTATTTGATGGTTAATGAACAATATGAAGTGATCTAAACTATCACCTTTCTCCTTCATCTCCCTCATCAACTTAGTTCAATTGATATAATAAAAATTAAAAGGAAACTTTAAGACAAACTTTAGTAAGTAGACTTCTTAAGATCTATCCAATATTGTCTTTTCCTTAGAAAGCTAAGATTCATTCATTGTGCAAGCCTTTATGAATACTGATCTGATGGGAGAGATTGTTCTATGTAATGGAAGTACTGTGGTCATTAAGATAAGTCTCTGCTTTTGTGTAGTTCAGTTTAGTCAAATGAATGATTGGACTTGGCCTGATGGCAAAAAAAAAATGCCTTACAACATTTTCCTAGCACTGAATAGTAATTAATGGAGGTTTTACTTTGTAACAAAGTTTTTTAGGGTAATAGTAGCAAGAAGATATCTAATCAAGGAGATTCTAATCAAGTTAAGCATTGTAAATTGATACATTTATCATGCTATAGCTCAATATTATTAAAACTCCTGTTTTATCTTGAAAATATGCATAAAGCAATAATTATAGATAATTTATATAAATAAAAATATCTACAGTACACCGATTTTTGGCTTTAAAGTAGGCCAAATGTTTCAGAACAATAATAAACTTGTGATTCTCATGAAAGTTGATGCTAAGTCTGGGTTCCAATAAATATTTTTTTGAAAACGTTCTGGGGCAAAACTTTCCACAGCAACAATTATGGCCATCTAAAATTCTATGCCCAAATTTAAACTGAAGTCAAGTATTTTTCTTTTATTCACATAAATTACTTGACCACTTGTGATAAATGTGATTAAGAACAGCAAGAAAAAAATAAAGCAAGGTAAAATATCCCATTTAAATATAGAAACAACACCAGTGGGGAGATCAGAGAAGTGGTTCTTGATCTTTAGAGAAAATTGCAACTTGTATGAATAGAGGCGTAATTCAAGAGAAGAACATGGAGGAGCTCTAAGACAAGGTATAGCGTAAAAAGATTGGTCACCAAAGTTAAAGAAAGGGTCTAAGAAAACAAGGGCTCTAAGTGGGCTCAAAGCTACATGGACTGAGGCAGAGGGGGTACATTCAGGAAGAAGTTTCCATATGGTACTTACGGCTGGAAATAGGTAACAAGGAAAATAAATTCCATAGAAACAAAGTCAAGTTGCTATAGGCCTCATTATTGTACACATGTGAGAGTATTTGAAAAGAGGAAATTAAGCATTTTGAGATCTTAAAGAATGGACAAAGATAAAATTGTATGTTAATACAATGACATTATAGTAAGATAGGATTAATTTACTTCCTTGGATATTATCAGTACACTGACACATCATTAAAACCTGCAAGGAATTGTTTGGAAGGCAAAAGTAATACTACGTGAGACTCCCCACAAATCTTGATCATCCTACAATGAATAAAAATTTGATAGACTTTAAGAAATATTCAGTTTCATATTCTAAAAACATAGTTTTGAACTTTACTTGGTATTGCTTTTAACTAGATATATGGTAGAAAACTCACACATTTCCAGGCTTCTTTTTTTTTTTCCACCTGTAAATTAGGATAATAGTTGTGATTTCAATTTTGTAAAATTCTTGTGGAAATCAAATTTTTTAAATTGAGTTGAAAATTCTTTGCAATCTACAAGTCAATTTTACTAAATATTCAATTTTCTTATATTGGCTTTTGAAGTCTATGCACTACAAGGCAGGTTAGTTCAACATTTCAATAAACATTTATTGACATTCACCATAATTATTGCAATCTGCTGAACACTAAAGAAATAACAAAGACCTGCACCCTGTCTTTGAGGAATTTGAAGCCTAATTTTCATATAATTTCAACCGTGATTTTCATGCTTCCGCAGACTCTTATAAAAACATACTGAGATACCTTTTGACTGTGACATAGGATTAGGATTTCCTACAGAAAGTTGCACCTTAGTTGACTTTTTAAAAAGTGAAAAAGAGTCACCAATTGAGAAAAGGGGAGAAGCATTCCAAGGAAACTGAAAAACCAAGAAACATTTACATGAAAAACAGCTCGTTGTGTGCGAGAGAGGGGAAATAGGGGTATTTGCTGTAATTACATCATAAAATATTAAGTGGTATTCTCAATTAAGGAGTATGGTGCCAGCGTAAATTATTTTTAGGTAAGTGGTTTTATGACTGCATTTTTACAGTCGTTACTATGATCAATTGTAAAAAGGAAGCCAAAAGAAATGGAAATCCATGTTCCACCTCTGCAGCCACTTCCCCAAATAACACACACTTCAACACATTGAAAACGTACAGCTCTGCTTTTCCCTAACTTACAAATTGGGTTCCCATGCAAGAATTTACCCATACAAAGAGCTCCATAGTTTCAGGACCAAGTGTATCGTAAAAGAACCTAAGGTTAGTATACATTGTTTTACTTATTAATAGATTTATGGGTGCATTAAATAAAATCAGAAGTTCAGATGAAGGAGTAGATCTTAAAATATAATAATTATTATAATTATGACCATCTTAAGTATAAGATGCCTGTGCAATGTCCAAGTAGATTTTATAGTTAGCAGACAAATCTTTTTATAAGATTTGTAGGGACAGATCAGACGTAAAGATATATATTTAGAAGTTACCAGCATCAGGGAGAAAATAAATATGTTAGCACAAATGAAAACCCCACGGCAGAGCAAGTTGAATGGGAAGAGCAATAGATTACAGATGCAAGACATAGAAAATCCTACTGCTTCAAGCATGGGCACAAGAAGAGCCAAAAAAATAGCTGGAAAAATAACTGTTGAAAGTATAGAGAAGAACCAGAGGAGTGTGTCATATTTGAAACAAATGAGGGAAGGAAGGAACTTTAAGATATAACAAGTGGTCAGAAATGTCAGATAAAACAGAAACAAGGAATATATGAATTGAGAGTCTGTGTTTGATTTGAAGGTCACTAGCCAAGATAATTTGATGTTGTAATACAGTAGCCAAATGGTGGTGTACTAAAAAGTAAGCAAGAATCAGACTTGATAATAACAAGTAAAACATAATTCTTTAGTGCTTACCAAAAATGCATCTAAAAGATAACAAATACAGAAACTAAAATGAAGGGAAAATCAACTTTAAGAAAATTGATTTAAAATCAACTTTGTCTCTTCAGTTTTAAAAAGGCAAAAGAGTTAATAAAACTATAGTTCTCTGAGGCTATATAATATTATTAATAAAAATTTACAAATAATCTACAGGTAAGTTATAATAATAATTCTAATTATTAATTACAGCTTAGGTTGTTGGATATAAGTTCATTATACAAAACTCAATTAATTTACATATACCAGAAGCAAGCAAATAGAAAAATTTGATTTAAAAAGTACCATTTATGAAAGGACCAAAACTATCAAATATATAGGAATGAATCTAAGAAAAGATGTAAAAATGAGCTCTAGATACCAAAGTAAGATTTCGTTGTAAGGAATTAAAGAAGATATAAATAAATTGAAATAATACTCTTCTCATTAAGTAGCCCAGTGTTATAACAATGTCATTTATTCACAAATTGAGTTAAAGATTTAATGTGACTCTAATAAAAATTCCACAGGTTTTTTGTGTGTGTGTGAAAATTGGCAAATAATTCTAAAATCTGTATCAAAATTCAAAATGCCTAGAATGAGACATTTTTGAAGAAGAATCATGTAGAAAAACATTTTCAACAAGATAAGATGTTATGCTAAGAAAAATAGTGTGGCTATTGGCGAATGATAAATAAAAAATAAACAGATTAATTAGCCCCTAAAAATCAAAGATATAAATCGACCCTTAACTTACTACACAATATTTCAGAGGATTTGGGATTTTAGGGTGCTGGGTATATTGAATATTTACATTCTAAAAGACAAATTTTGATCTGTACCTCACATAAAAATCAGTTTCAACTAGAATGAAGAGCTAAATGTGAAAGGTAAAGCAAAACTTTCAGAAAGTAGCAAAAGACAGTAACTTTATGTCATGGAGTAGGAAAAGATTTCTAAAACAGGTAACAAAAACACTACTCAGTAAGGAAAAGATAGTAGATTACATTAAAAGTAGTAATTACTGTTCATTAAACCACATCGTTAAACCAATGGAAACATAACAGACAGAGTGAGGAATATTATTTGCAACACAACCAGCTACTCACTAATAAGTTAGACACTCAAGTAAAATGGAAAGTTTTGAACAAAAACTTCACAATGAAGACAGCAAAGTTGCCTGTAAAAATGTAAATTCTTCAAACCATTATTCATTAAAACCACAGCAAAATGTTACCACAAATTGAAGCATAATGACTAAAATGAAGAAAGATTGTTGTAAGTGCTAATGAGGATATGGAGCAACTGCTTGTGGGAATATAAACTGGTACAACTCTTTTGTAAAAATCAGTGGCAGTATTTACTGAAGATGGACATACCTGAGATATAGAATGGATTAATAAACTGTGGCATCTTCATATAATGAAATGTTATAGAGCAATGAGAAAAAATGAGATGTAACTAGGTACAATTAAATGAATAAATATCACAAATTCAATATTAACTGAATGAAATCAGAAAAAAAGACAAGACGATTCATAAGGTATGTTTCCATTTATACATTGCAAAAATAAGCAAAAAATTATATATGATGTTAGGAATCAGAATAGTCATCAACCTTAGAGAATAGTAATCAACCTTATTTAGTGAGTGAGAAAAGGTGGACTTCTGATCTATTTTTGATGTGGGTGCTGGTTCCTGAATGTGTTTACTTTAAAATTCGCTTAGCTATACACTAATAATTTGTGCATTTTATTATATATGTGATACTTTAATAAAAATGTACTTAAAAATATAATATACATTATATATATATAAATAAATTTGCTTACAATGTGTTAATTCTGATTATTTTTCCTTTAAGGTACTTCTAATTGCAGATTTAGGAAAATTTGCCTCATTATTCAGGAGTTGATAAAAGCATAGGGTACACAACATTCAATATCCTGCAGACTTAAGAGCACACGATTTTAAGAAGCAAAGCCACACTGCAGAGAACAGTGATGGGAAAATTACTTGCAAATCCAGTCCACCTTTACTGAACTGTATGGCATAGTGGTTAAGAGCTTGGGTTCTGGAGCCAGACTACCTGGGTTCGTCACTCAGCTCTACCAGTCACTAGCTGTGTGACATTTGGTAGGTGGTTACTTAAGCTTTCTGTACCTGAGATTTCTCATCTGTAAAATGGGAAGAAAAGTATCAATCACAGCACTGTTATGAGAATCACAGGGACATGCTTGTACATTCAAAAAACTTAGGTTACTTTCGGGGCAAAGGTTAAGTATGAATATTGTTTGTTGTACATGTTGTCTGCTGTGTGTCAGACATGTTTATTTAATCCTAACAACCCCTCTTTCAGGTGGACATTGCCATTCCCATTACATGAAGAAGGAAACTGAGGCTTAAGATTAAACAGAAACTTGCTAAGTGTTTCACTCAATGTCTTCTGATTCCCGGTCTGGTGTGCATTCGGCATTCTGTCTTCCATGGTGCTCTTGGATTAGATTACAAGCCTGGGCTCTACTACTTTCCTTTGCAGATGAAGACATAATTTAGTACATCTGATGAAACTGTGCAGAGATTATTAGTGGATTTGGTGAAAGTTGCTTAAATAAACTTTTACAAGTGACTATATAATTAGAAACTATCATCAGAGTGATCATCTCAATCACTTGAATTCATGAGGTCATCACAGCCAATCATGTTTTATTTTTTAATACTTTCATTCAAGGATGAATTTATTAGGTTGTTAGTGAGAAAGTGATATTCTTAGTCACTGAATAGATTTCTGTACAGCAATCTAAGGATAAAATCACATGTTTTTGAGGTTTTGAGAATTTTTTTACTCTTAGAGCCTGCAGTGTTTAATTGGCACTTAACCTAATATAGAATGTATCAAAAATTAAGTAGGCATTAATTAGGAACACGAAATGTGAACTAGCCTTAAAAAGTTAATTATCAAATTGGTATAGCTATCTGTCAGCAGACTCCCATAAGCACCCTGTTAAAGCAGTTTCATTTTTTTAAATGTAATATGTTTCTTAGGATGTGATTACACATACAATATATGGTTGTAATTTTGAGTTAATTGCATGGTAGCTAGATTAACTTTTATATCATTACACTTTAATCAGTGTTTTTCATGATTAACGTTCATTTACATTTAAAGCTTCCGAGTTCTTTTTTCCATTGTCTCTGCTCCTCCCTTCTCATGCCAAGTGCTGACTTAATATATCATTGCATTAAAGCTCTCTGAGGACAAACTTTTGCATTTTCTCGCTTTAGGTACCATGAAAACGTTCATAGGAAACTATGATAGTGATAGTATCTCTACCACAATGTACTGCTAATGACTATAATTATCTTAATATACAGAAAAAAAAGAGGCTAGATATTAGCTGGGAAAAGCCCATATCAAATAAAGAAAGTAGTTAATTCTCTATATCATTTTGACTTGAGTTTCATTCCAGCTGAAACTTTCAAAGGAAAAAAAGATAAAATTAATGTCTTTTTCTTACACTTGGCTTGAACAGCATGAAAAACATCAGGACCTTTGAAAAAAAATCATACTCTCTTATTAGTATATCACAACTGATAAATTTGACAGTAGATTGAGAAAGAAATATCTCTTTCAGTTACCTTTCTAAAGAATACCGTTACTGATCTGAATCAACCATTGAGATTTGTGGTTTTTCCTTTAAAGATTTGTTTGTATTAATACGAAAAGATATATATATATAATAATTTTATAAAATATGTACACTATGCACAGCCTGACAAAACAAAAACTCAAGTACGTTGCAATTGCCTTTAGATACTAAAGTGCTTCACTCCATCCCCCGGTGAGTGGCTCATGTCCTTACATTCCCAAACTCTGCTGACTTAGTTGCTATTTTCATTCTGTGTTTTAGTATTATTTGGATGTTAAAATTCTGTTTTTTTTCTACCCGAGATAGTATTAGTGTTGCATTATACACTTAATTTTTGATTACAGAGTTGACCCTTGAACAAAATGTGAACTAGCCTTAAAAAGTTAATAGTGAAATTGGTATAGCTATCTGTCAGCAGACTCCCATAAGCACCCTGTTAAAGCACCCTGTTGAAGCAGAGGGTTGGGGTACCGACCCCCTATGTAGTCAAAAATCCACATATAGCTTTGGATTTCCCCCAAAACGTAACTACTAAGAGCCTACTGTTGACCAGAAACCTTATCGATAATATAACAATTGATTAACACATATTTTGCATCATATAAGTATTACATACTATATTTTTATAATAAAGTGAGCAAGAGAAAAGAAAATGTTTTTAAGAAAATTATAAGGAAGAGAAAATAGATTTACTATTTATTAAGTAGAAGTGGATCATCATAAATGTCTTCATCCTCATTGCCTTCCCATTGGGTAGGCTGAGGTAGAAGAGGAACACAGGAGGGCTGGTCTTGCTGTCTTGAGGGTGGAAGAGGTGGAAGAAAACCTACACATAAGTGAAACTGGGCAGTTCAAACCCATATTGTTCAAGGGTCAGCCATGTTTGTTTAGATAAACCAACACATTTACCACCTTTTTTTGGTCTTCATTTCTTCTGAAATCTCAGACCATCCATCTGGAATCATTTTCTTCTGCCTTTAGAAATTCCTTTAGTTAGGATCTTTTCGTGGCTAACTCTCAAGTTTTGTTTGCCTAAAAATGTCTTTTCTTTCATTATAAATTATTCTTAAAAAAGTTATTTCCCCTAGGGGTAGAATTCATGGTTTACAATTCCTTTATTCTAACTTATTAAATATATTTTTCCATCATCTCTGGTATCTACTGGTGCTGATAAAAATTCAGCTGTTAGTCTAATTTTTGCAAATTTGAAAATAATCTGCCTTTTTGATGTTTGTTTTTAGGTACTTCTCTTTTTCTTTGGTCTTCAAAATTATGTGATATTTGAAGACCTCCCAGCCCTTTGCTGAATGCCTCTCCAATCATTTCAGTTCCTGAAGCTTGTTCTCTAGGAGGTTCTGCAGGGAGGTGTGACGGTTAATTTTAAACTTGAGTGAACTAAGAGATACCCAAACAGCTAATAAAGTATTATTTCTGGGTGTGTGTCTGAGGATGTCTTGAGAAGAGAATTGATGGACTGAGTAAAGGAAGTCCACACTCACCAATGTGGACAGGCCTCATCCAATCTTTTGAGGGTTCAAATGGATCAAAAAGGCTGAAAGGAGAACTCTCTGTCTTCTTGAGCTCAAACATCTGTCTTCTGCCCTGGAACATCAGAGCTTCTGGTTCTCAGGTCTTCAGAGTCTGAGACTTAGACAAAGGTCATCTCTTTGTACCCTCCCTGGCCTCTCTTATCTTCCCCCAACTCCCTCCAGTTCTCAGGCCTTCAGACTCAACTAGAAATTACACCATCAGCTGCCCTGGGTCTCTGGCCTTTGGACTCTGACAGAATTGTACCACCAGCTTTTCTTGTTCTCCAGTTTGCAGATCACAGATTGTGAGACTTCCTAGCCTTCATAATCTTGTGAGCCAATTTCTCATGATGAAGATCTATCTATCTATCTGTCTGTCTATCTATCTATCTATCTATCTATCTATCTATCTATCTATCTACCTGTCTATCTATTTATAATCTATCTATCTATGTCTTTCTTCAGTTAGTTCTGTTTCTTTGGAGAACCCTGACTAATACAGAAAAGCACAAGGAACAATATTGCCTGAGTTCTTGAACATTCATAAAGTTTCATTGATAGCTTTTAGAATCAAAGGTCATTTTGACTAGATAAAATTCTAGCTCACATTTTCTTGAGTAACTTAAATTTATTACTCCTTTGACATATGGTATAAAGCATGATGACAATATAATTTTGTTTTTATTTTTTGTAAGTGACTTAGACTTCATTTTGTCTAAGTGCCTGTATATGTGTGTGTGTGTGTGTGTGTGTGTGTGTGTGTGTGTATACACATGTATGCACATAAAACTTTAAAGTCCAATAATTTCCTGGACTGTATATTGGTCTTTGTTATTTGGGTCAGTTTTCCAAGGTACAGAATGTACATTTCCGTATGTATTTTTAGATTGATTTCATGGTGAAAACATTTTTGTGAATCATGTTCTTTAGTTTTTGTTTCATTCTATTGCTTTGGTTTTCTTTTTCAAGAACACACACACACACATGCACACACACACACACACATATATATATGTCTTGGCTTTCTTTTTCTTTTTTGGTCATTTTTCTATCCTGATCACTTTCTGTAATTGTTTTTTTTTTACTGAAAAATATTCTTCTTTATATTTTCTGTGTTTTTTTTAAGGTATCAACCATTCTGTTTATTCTCTCTTATATGCCTTTAATTTAGTATTTATTGCAAGAAATTTCTTCTTTGATTTCTGATTTCTTTTTTGGATTCTATCACATCTCTTCAAATTTTCCCTATTTCAAATGCCTTATTCTGGAATTTTTCTAATTTTGATACTTGTTTGTGTTTATAGATTTTTAATTTTTATATTTTTTCTAATTTCTTTTATCTCATTTTAAAGTATCAGGTTATATTTTTCTGAACGTATCATTCCCTGTGATTTCATTGCTGTCACAGGTACAACTGGCTGGGGCCAGCATCATGGACAGTAAAAGAATTTGCCAAGAGCCAGGCGCAGTGGCTCAAGCCTGTAATTCCAGCACTTTGGGAGGCCGAGGCAGGTGGATTGCTTGAGGTCAGGAGTTTGAGACCAACATAGTGAAACCCTGTCTCTACTAAGAATACAAAAAAATTAGCTGGGTGTGGTGGCATGTGCCTGTAATCCCAGCTACTTGGGAGGCTGAGGCATGAGAATTGCTTGAACCTGGAAGGCAGAGGTTGCAGTGAGCCAAGATGAAGCTACTGCACTCCAGCCTGGGTGACAGAGTGAGACTGTGTCTTTAAAAAAAAAAAAAAAAAAAAAAAGACCAAGACAGTAATGAGTAAAGAAAGGCGGATTTATTAAAGTACAATGATACATTGCAAGAATGCAATGAGCAGCAGCACAGCAGGAGAAGGCTGTCTGCCAAGAGGCAGGGGCTGGGGGGAAGTTTTATAGAGTTGTGCTGGAGGGGCTTATTAAAGTACAAAGATACGTTGCAAGAGTGCAGTGGGCAGCACAGCAGAGAGAAGACTGTCTGCCAAGAGGCAGGGGATGGAGGAAAGTTTTACAGGGTCATGCTGTAGGGGCTACATGAGGAATGAGGTCATGCTGCTGGGGCTACATGTGGAGGCAGATATTTGGGAACAGGATGTTGTGCCAGCAGGTTGTCTGTGATTAGCCATTTCTCAAAACATTGTTCTCCCCAACTCTGGGCCCCTTCCTCATTGTTGCTTACTTAGTAGGACTCCACAATAGTCTAGATGTATATTATTATGTATTTTATTCTTATTATCTTATAACTTTTTATAAAATTTGATCACAATCCTTTCTTCCATTTTTATTATTTTTTTCCCTCTTTCCCTTGTTTTAAAATGAGATGAATTTTTTTTTTGTATTTTTAGGAGGTAATACTGGGTCAAGTGAAATTTTAGCTTCACCGCTTCAGAGTTTCCACTTTTATTACTTTAAAAATAATCAATATATGTCTTTACACTTCCTGAGAACTGTCTTGTCTGTTCCCTTCCAACACAGTAACCCATGGGACAATCTGGCCCACTAGTTGCTTTGTAAATAATGTTTTATCAAAATGCAGCCACAGCCAGTGGTTTACCTATTGCCTTTAGCAGCTTTTAGGCTGCAATTTCAGAGCTGAGTAGTTGTGATGGAGACTTCGGCTAGCACAGCCTGAAATATTTACTCTTGGTCTCTGCAGTAAAAGTTAGCACAACCCTTACCTTGATCATCTTTCTGTCCCCCTATTTTAATCCTGTCCTTCTCAAATTTGATTCAATTCCTACAAAGTTCTCCATATTGGTCTTTTCACTAGAAGAAGCCTTTAGTTTATTAGTTTTGGGACTTTTTTAGGGCTCAGACTGCTCCAGCACCTTCCTGTGTCATACAGTTCATTTGATTTCATCCTTGAATTAGATTCTGCAGAACTTCCTTCAATTTTAGTTGTTATTCTCAGGTTGATTTGCTTTTCATGTTGTATTTTGTAACATTGCTCCAACCATAATTCTTCATTCTAGAAAGAGCAGTTGGTTCCAGTAGAGCAGTTGGTTACAGTTTCATTTGTTTGTTTCTTGAAATGGTGTTTTGCTCTTGTCGCCCAGGCTGGAGTGCAGTGGTGTAATCTCCACTCACTGCAACCTCCACCTCCCATGTTCAAGTGATTCTCCCGCCATCGCCTCCCGAGTAGCTGGGATTACAGGCGCCCGCCACCATGCCCAGCTAATTTTTGTATTTTTAGTAGAGACGGAGTTTCACCATGTTGGCCAGGCTGATCTTGAACTCCTGGCCTCCCAAAGTGCTAGGATTACAAGTGTGAGCCACAGTATTAGCTGTGTATTATTTAAACTATCAAAAAATCAGAAAAGAACTAAATGTAAATCAAGAGGAGAGATTTAAATAAAATATCAAATGTCAAATACCATGGAATGGTATATAACAATTAAAAAAAGAGAGATTGGCTCATGTAAGAATCTGAAACAAGCTCCAAAATTTACTGTTAAATGAAAATACATGGCACAGAACAGTGAATGCATCATGGTTTCATTTTTATTTAAAGTGATACATGTATAGGTATATAACAGAAAAAAGATAGAAATCTTCATCCTAGATTATTAACAGGACACATCTCTGCTAAGAAAATCGAACTTGTGGCTAGTGAGAGAGTGACTTAGGCATTCTATTCTACATGGTGCTGTATGGTTTTAATCTTTCACAGTGGTAATTTATTCATGTGTTTGTTAATTGCACAACAATCAATATACATATGTATGTTTGTATATATATATGTGTGTGTGTGTGTGTGTGTGTGTGTGTGTGTGTGTGTATACATATATATATATGGATTAAGCCTTTTAAGGAATGGGCTGTAAGGAGAAATAAACGTGGAAGAGGGAGTTGACTCTCTGGAGGGAAAGTGAGAAAGGATGAGAATCAATGATGTCAAGTTGAAAGTGTTATAAAAAGAACAGGGTAAGGACTGAAGCTGACTAATGGAACCTGATTCCAAACTTTATACTATATTATTCTGAATTCTGTCCTTTCATAGTAATGAATCCAATAAATACCAATGGCTTGTGATCTTAGCGCACTACCTTAAAAATGTAAAGACAGTAAAGAAAAGCCTAAATTAATATTTTTTAAAAATAAAGTCTGAAGGAAGCCATATCTGAAAGGGAGAAAAAGAATATTTTTATATTTTGAAAAAAATCTGCATTTTTTTAATATACAGAACTTCATCAGTCCTGCATTCTGATGTATTATCATTTTTAAGAAGAGAATATATGCACACACAAATTAATTTATTTTCACCTTCTTGTTATGAATTTTGAAAAATAAGTTGATCATTTGAATTGTCTAGAATATTGAAAAGCAAAAGGTGTAATAATTTTGCTTAATGCTTCACAATTTTAATCAGCTTGAAAATGGGAAAAATAAAGTGTATGTAAAAATAGATATTGTAATAGAGGCTGCCTAGAATAAAGACATTCAAGACAGTTTCAATTAGATTGTACTCTTTCAAAAGGTATCTCATTTGAAGCAAACTGTATTCTGTCTGTTAAAAGGTATTCTAAGGAGTGCAAAGATTATTTGAGGTGAAATAACTGGATCTAAGCCAATGGAAGTCATTTGGATTGTTTAAGAGAGGATGTGTGATAGCATCTATCTCTGAGAATATGTTCAGAGTGGAGCAGCTAATCTAAATACAATGAGCACCCTGCTACTGGCAAACTTCATTAATAACTTGTATGGTGGAAACCTCTTGACTAGTGAGAAATCTGTCTAGTAAACATTGAAAAAGTGGCCATTAAACCTAAATCTGGGAGTGACTGGTCAACAGCACTTTAATATTAAATGCAGTCCTGTAAGTATGCCTGACATTTCCAGTCTCCTTTCTAAAGCCAACTGTTGGCTACAAAAATATTTTGTTTTTATTTTCTCTCACCAAAATCAAGTATAAAATTCTAGAAACGTTCATATGCTGTGTTTATCTCATATATATGAAATATGTATATATATGAGACAGGGTCTCTCTCTCTCATGCTGTCACCCAGGTTGGAGTGCAGTGGTGCAATCTCAGCTCAATGAAACCTCTGCCTCCTGGGGTTCAAGCAATTTTCATGTCTCAACCTCCTGAGTAGCTGATATTACAGGTGCACATCACCACGCCCGCTAACTTTTTTGTATTTTTAGTAGAGACGGGGTTGCACCCTCTTGGTCAGGCTGATCTTGAACTCCTGGCCACAAGAGATCTGCCTACACTGGGCATCCCAAAGTGCTGGGATTACAGGCATAAGCCACCATGCCCAGCCTTAGTGTTATATTTTGAGCATTTCTATATTCTATAACTTTAGTTATTGCATGAAGAAATGTTAATTAAATTACCATAAAACACTTATTTAATTTGAACTCTCTGAGAATTATTTTGTCATTTGGGGGAAAAAAGAACATGTACTTATGCTATGCATATTCCAAAATATTAGAAATACTTAACTTTAAGATTATTTTCTTTCTTTGAGTGATGAGATTACCGCTGATTTTTATTTTCTTTCTGTCCTTCCTTCCTTCCTTCCTTCTTTCCTTCCTTCCTTCTTTCTTTAAAGAGATGAAATCTCTCTCTTACGCCCAGGCTGGAGTTCAGTGGCACAATCATGGCTCACTGCAACCTCGACCGCCTGAGCTCAAGAGATCCTCCTACTTCAGCCTCCTGAGTAGCCGGGACTACAGGCATGCACCACTATGTCCAGCTAATTTTATTTTTTAGAGATGGAGTCTCACTATATTGCTCATGGTGGTATTTCCTTCCTCATTTTCAGTTTCTCAGCACATTTGCAGACAGCATATGTTACTTTCATACTCAGAAAAAAAAGAGTAAATAGCAATTTTAAAAAAAAAAAAGAAAATCGGCCGGGCGGGGTGGCTCATGCCTGTAATCCCAGCACTTTGGGAGGCCAAGGCAGGTGGATCACGAGGTCAGGAGATCGAGACCATCCTGGCCAACACGGCGAAACTCTGTCTCTACTAAAAATACAAAAAATTATCTGGGCGTGGTGGCAGGCGCCTGTAGTCCCAGCTACTCAGGAGGCTGAGGCAGGAGAATGGTGTGAACCTGAGAAGCGGAGCTTGCAGTGAGCCGAGATTGCACCACTGCACTCCAGCCTGGGTGACAGAGCAAGACTCTGTCTAAAAAAAAAAGAAAATCATAATTATAAAAGTTTGAACTTAAACATTTTGACAAATGAAAAAAGAAGGCTCTCCTGACCATTGACCATTGTGTTAGTCCGTTCTTGCATTGCTATAAAGAATTACCTGAGACTAGATAATTTTTTTTTTTTTAGACAGAGTTTCACTCTTGTTTCCTAGGCTGGACTGCAATGGCGCGATCTCAGCTCACCACAACCTCCGCCTCCCAGGTTCAAGTGATTCTCCTTCCTCAGCCTCCCCAGTAGCTAGGATTACAGGCATGCACCACCACACCCAGCTAATTTTGTATTTTTAGTAGAGACAGGTTTTCTCCATGTTGGTCAGGCTGGTCTCAAACTCCCAGTCTCAGGTGATCTGCCTGCCTCGGCCTACCAAAGTGCTGGGATTACAGGTGTGAGCCACTGCGCCAGGCCAAGACTAGATAATTTATAAAGAAAAGAGGTTTAATTGACTCACAGTTCCACACACTGTACAGGAAGCATGGCTTGGGAGGCCTCAGGAAACTTACAATCATGGCAGAGGGCAAAGAGGAAGGAGGGCATTCTCCATGGCTGGAGCAGGACAAAGAGAGAGCAGGGGAGGTGCTCCCCACTTTTAAAGAACCAGATCTCCTGAGAACTCTCTCACTATTATGAGAACAGCAAAGGGGAAATCCACCCCCATGATCCAATCACCTCTGACAAGGCCCTTTCTCCAACACTGACGATTACAGTTTGACATGAGATTTGGGTGGGGACACAAATACAAACCATATCACCCATTATGAATTTCTGGCCATTTGTACATGGTGTTAGAGTGCCAATGCATTTACAGGAATGAATGAACTTGGTAACCATTAGCAATCCTTTTGTACATTAAGCGTTTTCCTCTCTCATGACCCTGAATTTGGCCTATGCTGGAATTTTTTTTCCATGGGCAAAGTTATGATCTGAATGTTTGTGTCTCACCAAAATTCATATGAGGAAATCCTAATCCCCAAAGTACTTGGAGGTGGGATCTTTGGGAGGTAATTGGGGTTAGATTAGGTCGTAAGAATGCAGCCCTCATGATAGGATTCATGCCCTTAGGAAAAGAGGAAGAGATAGGAGATTTCTCTCTCCTCCTTGTGAGGATACAAGGAGAAGATGGCCATCAGCACATCAGGAAGAGAGCCATCAATAGAACCGAATCAACAGACACCTTGATCATGGACTTCTGAGCCTCCTGAACTGTGAGAAATAATTTATTATTGTCGAACACACTCAGCCTATGCTAATTTGTCACAGCTGTCCAAGCTAAGAAGGGCATGGAGCACCTCCCCATCTCTTTAACCGACACAAACCTCCCTTTATTCCAGGAACTACCAGCCACTGAAGAAGATTTTGTATAATTTGTGATTGGGCTTGATCTAAAAACCATATTATCTTATGATATAGTAGTCAATGCATTATCAAAGAATATTACATAAAGCCTTCACACCAAATACTAAATCAGACATCACTACCACCAAAATATCAGGGCAGCAATGTTATTTTATAGAAAGAATATTAGATTGTGACCCAAAAGAAATCTGTTGTACCCGTGATTTTTTTTATAACTAGTTATATGAACTTTGACAAATCACTGGTCCACAATTTACCCATGTGTAAAATCGAGAATTGGATTAAACGTTAAGTACATTATCTTCCAGCTTTAAACTTGTTTAAATAGTTATATATTTAGGGGTTACAAGTGCAGATTTCTTATACACATATATTGCGTAGTGGTGAAGTCTGGGCTTATAATGTACACATCATTTGAATAGTGAACATTGCACCCAATAGGTAACTTTTCAGCCCTCAAACCTCCCCTCCCATTTTCCCAGCTTTTATAGTCTCCAATGTCTATTATTCCACTCTGTATATTCACATGTACCCTTTGTTTAGCTCCCACTTATAGGTGTAAACATACAGTATCTGCCTTTCTGTGTCTGAGTTGTTTCACTTAAAATAATTGCCTCCAGTTCCTTCTGTGTTGCTGCAGAAGGCATGATTTTATTCTCTTTTTTATGGCTGAGTAGTATTCCATAGTATACATATATGTACACCACATTTTCTTTATCCAGTCTTTCATTGATGGACACTTAGGTTGATTCTATGTCTTTGCTTTGTGGAATAGTGCCATGATAAATATACAAATGCAGGTATCTTTTTAATATAATGTTTTATTTCCCTTTGGGTATATATCCAGTGGTGATATTGCTGGATCAAATGGTGGTTCTAGTTTTAGTTTTCTGAGAAATCTCCACATTGTTTTCCATAATGGTTGTAGTAATTTGCATTCCCATGAACAGTGTAAAAGCATTCCCTTTTCTCTGCATTCTTACCAATATCTATAGATTTTTGACTTTTTCATTCTTCTGCATTGGCTAACTAGTTTTCCCAGGACCATTTATTGAATAGAGTGTCATTTCCCCAGTGTATATTTTTGTTGACTTTGTTTAAGATCGGTTAGTTGTAAGTATGGGGTTTTATTTCCGGGTTCTCTATTCTGTTCATTGATCTATGTGTCTATTTTTATACCAGTACCATGCTGTTTGGGTAGCCTCATAGTATAATTAGAAGTCAGCTAATGTGATGCCTCCAGCTGTATTCTTTTTTCTCAGGATTGCTTTGGCTATTTGGGGTCTTTTTTTGGTTGCATATAAATTTTATGATTTTTTTTTCTAATTCTGGAAAAATGACTGGTAATTTGATAGGGATTGCATTGAATCTGCAAATTGCTTTGGGTAGTATGGCCATTTTAACAATATTGGTTTCTTCCAATTTATGAGCATGGAATGTTTTTCCATTTGTTTGTGCCACCTATGATTTCTTTAATTCATGTTTGCAGTTATTTTATAGAGCTCTTTCACCTTCTTGGTTAAAAATACTCCTAGGTTTTTTTTTTTTTTTTTTGATGCTATAATAAATGGAATTGCCTTTATGATTTGGTCCTTGGCTAGATTGTTATTGGTGTATAAAAACACTACTAATTTCAGTATGATAATTTTGTACCCTGAGACTTTTCTGAATACATTTATCAAATTTAAGAGTTTTTCAGTGGAGTTTTTAGGGTTTTCTAGATATGAGATTACATTATCAGCTAATAGGGATACTTTTACCTCCTCTTTTCCAATTTGGATGTCTTATTTTTTTTCCTTGTCTTTTGCTCTGGCAAGGATTTCCAGTACTATGTTGAATAACAGTGGCAAAAGTGGGGATTCTTGTCTTGTACTTGTTCTTAGAGGAAATGCTTTCCACTTTTTCCTATTAAGTATCATGTTGGCTGTGTGTTTGTTGTATATAGCCTTTATTATGGTGAGATGTGATCCTTCTATGCCTAGTTTGTTGAGGATTTTTACCATGAAGGATATTGCATTTTATTGAATGCATTTTCTGTGTCTGTTGAGATAATGATATTGTTTTTGTCCTTAATCTGTTTATGTGATGTACCACATTTACCAATTTGTATATGTTGAATCATCCTTGCATCCCTGGAACAAATCCCACCTAATTATGGTGTATTATGTTTCTGACGTGATATTGGATTTAATTTGCTAGTATTTTGTTGAGAATTTTTGGATCTGTGTTCATCAGGGATATCTGTCTGTAGTTTTGATTTTTGGGTCCTTGTTTGGTTTCGATATCAAGGTGACATTGGCCTCACAGGATGAGTTACGGAGAATTCTCTCCTCCATGATTATTTTTGAATAGTTTCAAGAGGACTGGTAGTTATTCTTTGTATGTTTGATAGAATTTGGCTATGAATCCATCTGGTCCTGGTTTTATGTTGTTGTTGGGAGATTTTTTTATTTCTGATTCAATCTCACTATGCATTACTATTCTGTACAGGAGTTTTATTTCTTCCTAGTTCAATTTTGAGAGACTGTGTATTTCCACCAATTTAACCATTTCCTCTAGGTTGTCTAGTTTATGAATGTATTGTTGATAATAGTCTCTGATAATCTTTTGTATTTCTATGCTATCACTTATGTCTTTTTTCATTTTTGATGGTGTTTATTTGGATTACCTCTCTTTTCCTGGTTAGTCCAGTTAGTGATTTGTCAATTTTATCTTTTCAGAGAATCAGCTTTTCCTTTCATTAATCGATTGTAATTTTTTGGTCTCTATTTTAGTTAGTTCTGCTCTGATCTTTGTTATTTCTTTTCTTCTTTTAACTTTAGGTTCAGTTTGTTCTTGTTTTCCTAGTTCCTTGAAGTGCAATGATATGTTGTTCATTTGTGAGTATTTCACCTTTTTATGTAGGCATTTAATGTTATAAACTTCCCTCTTAGCAGTGCTTTTTCTGTATCCCCAGGATTTGATACACTGTGTTTTCATTTTCATTTGTTTCAATAAAAGTTTTAAATTTTCATCTGAATTTCTTCATTTATGCAGTGATTGTTTAAGAGCATACTGTTTAATTTTCATGCATTTGCTTAGTTTACAAATTTCCTTTTGGTGTTGATTTCTGGCTTTATTCCACTGTGGTCTGAGGAAATAATTTATATGATTTTGATTTTTTAAAACTTGTTAGGAATTGTTTAATGGCCTAAGAGGTAATCTATCTTGAAGAATATTTGATGTGCTGATGTATATTCTGCAGAATGTGTATTCTGCAGCTGTTGGATAGAATGTTGTATAAATGGCTATTAAGTCCATTTGGTCTAAAGTTCAGTTTAAGTCCAATGTTTCTTTTTAATTTTCTGTCTTGACAATCAGTCTAGTACTGTGAATGAGGGGTTGAAATCACCCACTATTATTGCATTGCTGTCTGTCTCTTTCTTTAGGTTTAGTAATATTTGTTTGGTGAATTTGGGTGCTCTAATGTTGGGTGCATACATATTTAAGATTGTTGGCTGAATTGATCCCTTTATCATTATATAATGACTTTCTACATCTTTGTTTTTACTGTTTTTGATTTAAAATCTATTTATTCTAATGTAAGTATAGCTACTCCTGTTTGCTTTTGGTTTTTGTTTGCATGAAATACCTTTTTCCATTCATTCACTTTCAGTCTTCGTATCTTTATAGGTAAGGTGAGTTTCTTGAAGGCAGCATATAGTTGGATCTTTTTTTTTTAATATTCATTCTGCTACTTCGTATCTTTTTAGTGGAGCATTTAAGCCATTTACATTTAAGGTTAATATTAATATGTGAGGCTTTATTCCTGTCATATTGTTTTTTTCAAGTTGTTTTATACATTCTTTGTTTATTTCCATTTCTGTCTTTTTTTCTTTGTGGTTTGATGGAATTCTGCCATGTTGCCATTTGATTCCTGCCTCTTCCTCCTTTGTATGACTGTTTCATAAGAGCTGTGAATTTTATATTTCTATATGTTTTCATGATAGTAAAATTGACCTTTTCTTTCTATGTTTAGTAACCCTTCGTGCATTTCCTGTAGGGACAGTCTCATGGTGAGAAATTCCCTCAGTGCTTGCTTGTCTGGGAAAGCCTTTATTTTTCTTTCATTTTTGAAGATTATTCAAGCAGGATATAAAACTCTCAGCTAACAGTTTTTTTTTCTTTCAGCCCTTTGAAAATGCCGTCCATCCTCTTCTGACCTATAACGTTTCTGCTGGAAAGTCTGCCGTTAGTCTGATGGAATTTCCTTTATAAGTGACTAGACATTTTTCTCTTGCTAATTTTAAAATTTTTTCTTTCACTTTGACTTTAGACATTTAGATTATAATATACTCTTGTGAATTCCTTTCTGTAATGTATTTTTCTTAAGATTGCTAGGCCTCCCATATCTGGATGTCTAATGCTCTTAATAGAGTTGGCGAGTTTCCATCAATTATTTTCTCAAATGGATTTATTAAACTGTTGATCTCTCTTCCCCCTTGATAATACTGACAATTTGTACTTGCAGTCACTTTATATAATCCCAGAAGGCTTTGTTTATTCTTTCTTATTTTTTACTTTATTATTTTCTTACTGGATTATTTAAAATACCTATCTTCAAGTTCTGATAGTCTTTTTTCTGCTTTATCTAGTCCATGATTGAAGCTTTAAAATGTATTTTTATTTCCCTCAATGAATTTTCTAGTTCCAGAATTGCTGTGTGTGTTTTTAAAGATATTTATCTCCTTGGTAAATTTCTCATTCATATCCAGAATTGAATTTTTGGTTTCTTTGTATTGTTTTTTAGATTTCTCTTGCATCTCATTGGGATTCTTTAAAATCAATGTTTTGAATTCTTTTTTTTTTTTCTTTTTTATTTATTTATTTATTTATTTATTTATTTATTTATTTTTTATTGATCATTCTTGGGTGTTTCTCGCAGAGGGGGATTTGGCAGGGTCACAGGACAATAGTGGAGGGAAGGTCAGCAGATAAACAAGTGAACAAAGGTCTCTGGTTTTCCTAGGCAGAGGACCCTGCGGCCTTCCGCAGTGTTTGTGTCCCTGGGTACTTGAGATTAGGGAGTGGTGATGACTCTTAACGAGCATGCTGCCTTCGAGCGTCTGTTTAACAAAGCACATCTTGCACCACCCTTAATCCATTTAACCCTGAGTGGACACAGCATATGTTTCAGAGAGCACAGGGTTGGGGGTAAGATCACAGATCAACAGGATCCCAAGGCAGAAGAATTTTTCTTAGTACAGAACAAAATGAAAAGTCTCCCATGTCTACCTCTTTCTACACAGACACGGCAACCATCCGATTTCTCAATCTTTTCCCCACCTTTCCCCCCTTTCTATTCCACAAAACTGCCATTGTCATCATGGCCCGTTCTCAATGAGCTGTTGGGTACACCTCCCAGACGGGGTGGTGGCCGGGCAGAGGGGCTCCTCACTTCCCAGTAGGGGCGGCCAGGCAGAGGCGCCCCTCACCTCCCGGATGGGGTGGCTGGCCAGGTGGGGGGCTGACCCCCCCACCTCCCTCCCGGACGGGGCGGCTGGCCAGGCAGAGGGGCTCCTCACTTCCCAGTAGGGGCGGCTGGGCAGAGGCGCCCCTCACCTCCCGGACGGGGCGGCTGGCCCGGCGGGAGGCTGACCCCCCCCCCTCCCGGACGGGGCAGCTGGCCAGGCGGGGGGCTGACCCCCCCCACCTCCCTCCCGGACGGGGCGGCTGGCCGGGCAGAGGGGCTCCTCACTTCCCAGTAGGGGCGGCCGGGCAGAGGCGCCCCTCACCTCCTGGATGGGGCGGCTGGCCGGGCAGGGGGCTGACCCCCCCACCTCCCTCCCAGACAGGGCGGCTGGCCGGGCGGGGGGCTGACCCCCACACCTCCCTCCTGGACGGGGCGGCTGGCCGGGCAGAGGGGCTCCTCACTTCCCAGTAGGGGCGGCCGGGCAGAGGCGCCCCTCACCTCCCGGATGGGGCGGCTGGCCAGGCGGGGGGCTGACCCCCCCCACCTCCCTCCTGGACGGGGCGGCTGGCCGGGCAGAGGGGCTCCTCACTTCCCAGTAGGGGCAGCCGGGCAGAGGCGCCCCTCACCTCCCGGATGGGGCGGCTGGCCAGGCGGGGGGCTGACCCCCCCACCTCCCTCCCGGATGGGGCGGCTGGCCGGGCGGGGGGCTGACCCCCCCACCTCCCTCCCGGACGGGGTGGCTGCCAGGTGGAGACGCTCCTCACTTCCCAGACGGGGTGGCTGCCGGGCGGAGGGGCTCCTCACTTCTCAGATGGGGCGGCTGCTGGGCGGAGGGGCTCCTCACTTCTCAGACAGGGCGGTTGCCAGGCAGAGGGTCTCCTCACTTCTCAGACGGGGTGGCCGGGCAGAGACGCTCCTCACATCCGGGACGGGGCGACAGGGCAGAGGCGCTCCCCACATCTCAGACGATGGGTGGCCGGGCAGAGACGCTCCTCACTTCCTAGATGGGATGGTGGCCGGGAAGAGGCGCTCCTCACTTCCTAGATGGGATGGCGGCTGGGCAGAGATGCTCCTCACTTTCCAGACTGGGCAGCCAGGCAGAGGGGCTCCTCACATCCCAGACGATGGGCGGCCAGGCAGAGACGCTCCTCACTTCCCAGACGGGGTGGCGGCCGGGCAGAGGCTGCAATCTCGGCACTTTGGGAGGCCAAGGCAGGCTGCTGGGAGGTGGATGTTGTAGCGAGCCGAGATCACGCCATTGCACTCCAGCCTGGGCACCATTGAGCACTGAGTGAAGGAGACTCCGTCTGCAATCCCGGCACCTCGGGAGGCCGAGGCTGGCGGATCACTCACGGTTAGGAGCTGGAGACCAGCCCGGCCAACACAGCGAAACCCCGTCTCCACCCAAAAATACGAAAACCAGCCAGGCGTGGCGGCACGCGCCTGCAATCGCAGGCACTCGGCAGGCTGAGGCAGGAGAATCAGGCAGGGAGGTTGCAGTGAGCCGAGATGGCAGCAGTACAGTCCAGCTTCGGCTCGGCATCAGAGGGAGACCTTGGAAAGAGGGGAGAGGGAGAGGGAGAGGGAGAGGGAGAGGGAGACGGAGACGGAGAGGGAGAGGGAGAGGGAGAGGGAGAGGGAGAGCTATTTTGAATTCTTTATCTGACATTTCTAGGAGTTCTTTTTGATTGGGATATGTTGCTAGACAATTGTTTTATCTTTTGGTTGTGTCATATTTCCCTGCTTTTTCATGTTTCCTGTGGTCTTCCACTGATATCTGTGCATCTGATGTAGCAGTTGCTTGTTCCAATTTTTTGAAATTACTTTTGTAGGGGAGAAATTTTCCCTGAGGTTGTATGTATATTGTTGATTAATGTAGTTTGACTTTGACTTTGGGTGCCTGTGGTAGTGTGATCTTTGCATTACTTCTTTGGCAATACACAGAGTCAGTGGTATCTGTGATTTCCTCAGTTGCTTAGGGTATAGTTATTAATTCAAGTAGTGGTGCAATTTTTGGGGAGGACTTGGATGTAAACTGAGCTAATCTTTGGGCCCTGGTGGTGGCAGCAGTGGGGTAAATATGCCCTGTTTAAGGCCCTAGAGCAGTTTACACTGGCTCTAGTGTTAGAGGGTCCTGGAGATCTGATTCTTGAATCTTCAGGTGGCTTGCTTAGAAACTAGAAGTGGAAGAGGTGGACCAGGTATGTGGGTTGGTTCTTAGACCCTTGGGCAGCTGAGTTGGTGTGGGTGATGGTTGTAGCAGTGGTGTAGCCACCCACTGGTACCCAAGAAGTCTATGCTGGTGTAGCTGAAAGCTGTGATGTGTTGGGTGGGCTAGTCCCTAGTCCCCCAGCTGCCCATAGGAGGGTAGTGGCTATTGTCCAAAGTGTGCTTAGGAAATCTTTGTCTCCCCATCTCTTCCCTGGCTGGGTAGTGTGGCTGTAATCACATTTGCTCAAACTCAACTCAAAGGTGGGGCACAGCCCAGTGTTAAACCCTCAAATTGGTGCAAACTGTGGGTTTATGAACAGAAAGGGCAGGGCCCCTCTTAGATGAGCAACATGGGTAAGATGCTGTGGTCAGTATGGTTCACTCAAGTCTCAGTCTCACAGTAGCCCATGATAGTGTGGTGGGTATTGTTCTAGATAGGAGAGCCTAGTTTCTTTGTTCCTCCTTGGCCAGGTGGTGGCTGCAGTCATGCCAACTTGAACTCAGCCCAACCATGGGATGTGACCCAGGATTAAACCCTCAAAATGACACCTTGGGCCTGAGACAAGGGAGGGGCCTCTCCTAGGTAGGCAGGATGAACAAGAAACTACAGAGTGTGCAGTCCACTTGCATCTTGGTCTCACAGCAGGCCACTGCAGGTCAGTTGTTATTGTCCTAGATGTGTAAAGGAGCCTGTCCCTTCTTGGCTGGGTGACAGATGCAGCTACATTAGCCCAAACTCAGTCCAAGGTGAAGGGGGGGTGAAGTCCAGCATTAAACTCTCAAAACGGTGCCTTGGGCTTGGATCGAGAGAGAGCAAAATCCTTCTTAGGCAAGGAGTGTGAACAAGCAGCTGTGAGGAGTATGGCTCATTCACATCTCAGTCTCAACAGCAGCCCAAAGCAGGGCAGTAGGGACCCTATCAGGGGTTTGTGGGATGACAATCTCCTCTCTGCCTCCTCAAGGCAGTGCAGCAGCAACAGCCATTTCTGTAGATCACTGGTATCTAGGTTCTCAAAATGGCTCTCAGCTGAAGCTGCTCCAGGCTTAGATGTTGATGGGATGCTGCATGGGTTCTGTTTCTGGAGTAACATCTCTGTGAAATCTTTAGGCAGTGCTGTATGTCAGGCTTGAAACCATAATGGGTCTGTTAGCAGTGCTGAATCCATACATGTCTGCAGCAAACTCAATTCTTGCCTCCTTGAGGAAGCAATGTGGCCAAGGGGCATAAGGCAGAAGGAGAGACTGAGGCAAGTTTTAGAGGAGGAGTGAATGTTTATTAAAAAGTTCTAGAGCAGGAACAAAAGGAAGTAAAGTACACTTGGAAGAGGGACAAGCAGGCAACTTGAGAGACCCAAATCCTCTGTCCAACCCTTGACTTGCAGTTTTATACATTGGCATGATTCTGGGGTTTCCATTTCTCCTCCCTCGATTTTTCCCTCGGGGGCTGTCCACATGCACAGAGGTCACATGCGTGGTGTGTTTACTGAAGTTGTGCCCATGCTCATTTGAGGCGCTTTTCCCTTACCAGTTGAGCATTCCTAGAGGAAGGTCATATACCAGTTAAATTCCACCATTTTACCTCTTAGTGCACATGCTTGAGCCTTCTCACCCAACTCTTGAGACCTTATCAGGAAGCTGCTGATCACTAGCTTCAAGAGTTAGCCGTTCCCTGGCACCAGCTGTGACCAATTACTATTTTAGAGAAACAGTTTAACAACTGCCTGGCCATCACCTGATGATCGCCTGACATTCCTGGGTGGGGGCCTTTCCTCCCCTGCTCATGTCTGCCTAGCTACTTACTCTAACAGGTCAAAGGTTTCTCCTGTAGCCAAGATTATAAAAGTTTGTTTCAGAACGTGGAGCCCTGGGGGTTTCTCTCTTACTGATTCCCCATCTCCAGGAACCTCTTTTGGCTCTTAGTCCCCGGCCAGGCAAGCTGCCTCAAAACCTCTCCTTACTTACTTCTGGTGCTTTCTATCTCTGGTGAATGTTAGTGTTCTCTCCTAGATGATCTCTTCAAAATATCTCTACTTACTATTCTGGTTCCTCTCCGTGGAGGATGCACATACTACCTGCATCTAGTCAGCCATCTTGACCTCAACCTCTCTTCTAGCTTTATAATTCTATGGTTTCCTTCATGTTGTTAAGAAATTCTCACTGTCATATAACAAAATCAATAGGAGAATACATTTAAAACTATTCATTAGAGCTTCTCTGGAAGTCTGTTTCCATGTGACTAATACAAAATAAACAGTATTATAAAAAATTGAAAGGTGAATATATAATGTTTTGTTCCATAGTTGCCATAGCACTAGGTTATGTCCGCACATGAATAAACAATCTTATATAATAATTTATTCAAGAAGGAAAATATACATATGGGGTGATAATGGGGCCCTGTTGCTCTGGCATACATATAAAAGGAAGGCTAAATTATTTTTATTTTAACCTCCTGCCTTGAGATATTATACTCATTTGTAATAACCCTAATCTGTCAGTCATTATTTTCTTCTGTATCACATTGCTATTTAATTTATGAATTGGAGAATAAATGCCTAAAGCATAATCTCTGCGCAGGGTGGTTTATTCCCTTTGATCCCAATCTGATAAGAGATAAATCCTGTTAATTAATAGTTGCTGAAGAAGCTGACAAGAAAGGTTGGATCTGGTGGGATTGTTTGGGAAACTTTTTAAGGCAAATCATAATCCTCATAAAATATTCCTTAAAGATGGTAGCTATAAATTATACCTACTTTCCTAAGTTACCAATGAGCTAGAAAGATTTGATTTTTAATGCCTTTGCATCATAAAATATCTTTATGCTTTTTAAAAATATTATTTCTGTTTTATATCTTCTTGTTTTTATTTTCTCCTAAGTAACTTTGTCTTCTTTCTAAGAGGGCATAATGAATGACACACAAACCAATGATAAACGACAATTTACATATCAATTATTTGTGTCTTTGGTTTTCTCAATGACTGTACCATATTTCCATGAACAACTGATCTAAGGAGTAGGTAGATAGACTGTAATGATTTGGAAAATAATCTATGTAGTAGCTGGCTATCTGAATCAGTCTAGTCGGTACCATAGCAAAGATCTACATAAAGCATCCCTCAGTCTATAAAGAACCAAAGCTGTAACTGATGACATATATTCCATAGCATCCATTCTACATTTCTATCAATGCTTCCCACGTGGCCTGAAATGAGCAAGATGCTTAATAACTGTTTTTTGAATAAAGAAAGAAATTAGAATTTTTTATAACACTCTTTTATAATGACAAAACGATGAATTTTTCAAAGAGTTAAATAGCAAAATAATATTGGCATACATATTACATTGTCAACTGTTCTCTACCAGAACCCCTGGTCAGATATCTTCACTCATATGTCTGAAGTATGATTTCTGATGATATTTTGGAGAAAAGAGATTAGAAAGTATAATGGCTATTTTTGACAGCTTCTATCTTGATCATTTAATTACTTTTTCCCTTCTGATATATTTTCTATTGAATTTATTTGGGACAGTATAATTAAACTTAAAGAATTGTTTTATTCTTTTGTTCCAAGTTTGGATTTTGAGACTTTAAATTCTGTTAATTGATAGTTGCTGAAGAAGCTGACAAGAAATCTTGGATCTGGTGGGATTGTTTGGGAAACTTTTTAAGGCAAATCATAATGGCTGGACTGGGAGTAAATTGATTTTAAGAGGAAGGAAGAGCTGCATAGTGAGATAATTAAATAAAAAAAAGAAAGAAACAAGAAAAGAAAGGAAGGAAGGAGGGAGGGAAGGATGGTGGAAGGAAGGAAGGAAGGAGGTTGGGAGGGAGGGAGGAAGGAAGGAAGGAAGAAAAGGAAGTAAAGGAGGACGGGAGGAAAAGAAGGAAGGAAAGAAAAAATGGAGGAGGAAGTAAAGAAAACAAGTGAGTGAAATTACACTAGAAGTTTTCTGAGCATAACTTTTGTTATACTTGTGAGAGAATAAAGTCATTTTGATGAGAAAATCTGAAGAGAAAGGCAAAATTCTTTTGAAATGTTTTTCTTTGCTAGTTGATGAGTTATAACTTTCTTTACACTAGGAAAGAAAACTATTAGAACAGAAAAAGTTGATGGGTTATTTATATCAAACAATTATAAAAATGAGACTAATGATAAATATAAAAACAAGTTTAAAACAATTTTAACAACCATATGAGTAAACTAAAGCATTTTTTCTATCAATATTTGAGGTATAAAGTGTTTAGAGAATTGAAGAGTTATAAATTAGAAGAAAAAATACCGAATTTTAAATATTTATAACAGATATGATATTTTTGCTGGCTAATTTATTTGTCATCCTGACTGCATCACTAGATGCCTGATACTTGGTTAAATATTACTTCTGGGTGTGTCCATGAGAATGTTGCTGGATTAGATTAACACTCGAATATGTTAAACTGAGTAAAGCACAATGTGTGGGTGGGCCTGATCTAACTTGTTGAGGGCTTGAATAGAACAAAAAGGGAGAGGAAGGGAGAATTTGCTTTCTCTGCACAATTGCTTGAGCTGAAACATCAGTCTTCTCCTGCTGTTGGATTAGGACTGTCTCTCGGTTTTCAGGCATTCAGGTCTTCAGCCTTGGACTAAAACTATGCCATTGACTCTCCTAGATCTATAACTTGCAGATGCCAGATCATGGTACGTCTCAGACTACATAATCAAGAAAACTAATTCTAATCTTTCTCTTTCTCTCTCTCTCTCTCTCTCTCTCTCTCTCTCTCTGTCACACACACACACACACACACACACACACACACACACACACACATATATATCTCCTATTGGCTGTTTCTCTGGAGAACCCTAACAAATACAGACATTTTAATACCAAGAGTGATTCTAGAGGAAGAGAATTTCAGGAATCATTTTCGGAATTGGTTCTAGCGTTTCCAGAATTGGCTGTCTAATATGTTTACATTTAAAGATGCTCATGTCTCTATTTTCAGTAGTAAGGAGAGAATTGATAGTCCATAGCATGAATTGGTAACAGAGATACACAAAATATCTGCTTTGGATCTTCTTAATCACTCACTTAAAAGAATCAAGGAACTCAGTAACTTTATGTATGATGCTACTGAACATTTTTTGAAAACTAGTGAATATAATGAGATGGTCTGGTTGTTCCTAATGTCACTGGACAAAGAAGTGGTGAAAGAAAAGGATGAGCTCATGGATTTGAATTTCCTTAAAACTTATTTAAGTTTTCCAATGGTATTTCATACAAACAGTTTTTATTTTAAAATGTGCTAAAATTGAGAAAATCTGCATATCATGAAGTCTAACACTCATGTGAAGGTTGAAGAAAATTTATACTTTATCAGGGAGTCAATACGCCACCCAACAGCCTTTTTCTACCCACAATGCAAGATTAATGTTCCTAGGAGTTATAGAGAAAACTAAACCCATGGAGGGGTAGCTTTGTTATTGGTGCTATTACGTTGGACCACAATAAAACTGTGTTGGATTTGAGTCTTGACTGATAAATTTAATCACAGATTTATCTCTGTGTTTTACTTTCAACAAATATTTGTGGACACCCTTTTCCAAGGTAAAAACCAGAAACAAATAAAAACAACAACAACAACAAAAAACTTTACCGGACATTATAAGGGTTAAAAGGAGTATATGACATAATTCCTGTAGAGATGACATATATCTAAGTTATTGCTTGAGATACAAATATGGCAATGAAAGGAGGCTATAGGAAGTTTCATATACTTAGTACATGCTAATCTCAGGCATTTCAGAGTTTGATGATGTAGGATTTGGCTTTGAATCAAGGGTAATATTTGTATAGGTAAGTAGGTAGGTGGGTAGGTATTAGAACATGGTGAGTGCTTCAAGTAGGCAGTCATGAGTAAAGCATGGAGGAAAAACTGAAAAGTCAGCTAACAATAGTGTTTGAGTTTAGCTAGAATACAGATTTCATTTAGGAACTTAATAAAGATAAAGAGGAAATTATAGTTTGGGGCCAATTGAGTAAAAGACTTTTAATTCTAACTTAAAGTTTTCCAAATTAATTCTTTTAACAATGGAAGAACATTTCGTAGTTTTCAAATAGAAAAACGTCGTTGTGGTATTCTATGAAGGTCTGGGAAGAGAAAGAAAAAAGTGATTAGTCTTTACTGAGTGTTACTGACTCAGGTGATCTTTTGGTAATAGATTAGAAATGTTAGTTCCTAGTGCAGTTACTCGTCATTAATAAGAGTTTAAGGTAACTATCGCAAACAGAAACCTTCCCTCAAGATTGACATAGCCTGTGTTATTCTTACTGACTTATCTCATGGGGCTGAGTTGATAGATCTCGAAATGCTTTTTAAAAAGCAGACTGGGTGGCCAGGGCCAATTCCCAACTGATCCAGATAGAACTTGGCATAAAATCCTCTAGGGAATGTCTGGGTCCCACCAGCTCTGCCACCTGACCACTAGTGGGCAGACACAGCCCTCGGTTCTCAGGAAAATTTTATATCACAGAGGGGAATCAGGGTCAGCGATTTCAGGGGCAGTCCCTTTCACTGCTTAATCCAACCTGGCTGACTTAATGATATAAATATAGATTTACTGCCTCTGCCCCCTGAGCACGGAGCCACCACCTTCACTCTAAAGGTAACTCCACCTGGTAATTAACTGTGAAATATTGAGTGGCCAGTGTCTGACCTGAGCGTTTGTGCCAAGCAAAAGTTTCACTTGTTTTGTTTTTTTTTTTCTCTCTTTCACTGCCAGTTTGTGTGTACGTGTATTTTTAAGTATTAACTCTCATGGAAGCACATGCCTATTTAAAATTCCCAGACGATGAGTCAGACCCGTTCAGTGAGGTTCCTGGAGAGTCACATGATGTGATTTGATGAAACTTCACCTTATGAAGGGTTGGAGGAAAAAATAAAAAAAAACACTTTCAGACTTATATACATATACACATATACATACACATACATATATATTATTGTGGATATATACTTGTATATAATGTCATATAATTTTGCATACATACACACACCCACACAGTAGAGAAACAGACAGACACACATATACATGCAGTTAAAAAAAATCCCTTTGCTTTGTTTCTCTGTTTCCCTCAATAGATATTTAAAAATCTGGTGAGCCAACAGCTCATGCCTCTTTGAAACAAGAAGACAGCAGAAGCCCTGTAGCTACATGTGCTGCATATGAGTTTTAGTTATGTAGCTACCCTCTGAAATCACAATAGTGAAACTGGAAATTTGGATTCCAAAGTGATAAAGAGCATTGCTGAGACTTAGGATATCTGAGTCGTTTCACTTGCTGCTCTGATATGCTATAGGCTTATTTAGGCCTTTAAAAAATTCTGTATTATAATTTATACTTTTCTTCAAATCAGTTTGATGTTTCATGGTATAACTAACATATCTTTCTACGTTGAACAGTAAAGTAGGCTAACTCCTGTGAATAAATCCAAATTATAGTAATTTCTGAAGCTCTTCAATTAATTTTTCTGTATGTCTTCTCTAAGTGTAAACTCACTCTAGGAGTGATATTTGCAGTGTGAAAGCCTCATTTGCTAATGAACCCTAGCTATAAGCAGGATTGAGTCACTTCTTATGAAAAATATATGAGTTATAGAATAGTAAGTGTTCTAGAATGAGCCTGCCTCAAGAGAAGTATGGATGGAGAGCAAGAAAGCTAATAGTTGCTTATAAAGGGAAAGTTCCCTTCAAAAGATTGAGGACAGACACAGGATTTTGGGAGTGTCTTGTTGTTTTAAAACATCATAGAGGAAGTAATTGCTGCATCGATTCATTCACTTAATAAACATTTATTGAGAGCCCACTGTGTGCCAGAAACTGCTAGATGCTGGAGATTCAAGAACCCACAAGTCCTTCTAGTTTGATGGATGGGAGTTTCATAAGCAAATAGTTATAATTCGGGAATGTGGAAAGTACTGTGAAAACACAGGTGCAGCAATGACTAACTTTGCCTAACAGAATTTGATAAAACTTCACAGAGGAGGTGATATTTGATCCAGATCTTTACAGATAAGTAGGAAATGACTTGTTGAAAAATTACTAAAGCAGAGGAAAAAATTATGAATGTTGGGAATGTAGGGTTGAAGGAGGAAGGCCCATTAAAGATGTAATTTAATATTAGCCAGAACTGGTCCATAAGAGGGAGCTTTGAATGTGCAATTCATTTGCACTTTTATTCTGGGTGAATCCAGAAGCTAAACATATTTCAGCAGTGGGTTTAGAACCAGGAAATGGAAAGCGACTAGTAATCTAGGCTCTCTCTCATAATATTCATCCTCAGTCTCTGTCCCTGTTTCTGTCTCTCTCTTTCTTTCTTCCTCCTTCTCCTTAACTTGCTCAGGCTCTCTCATCTTTAGGTCTGAATAATTTTTCTCTGAAGAATGACACCATTTTGTACTAAGATATGACAATTTTCATCATCTCTGGTAATAGTCTAAACTTACTGGGGTTGCTATATCTATATGCCAAAATTCCTAGAGGGAGAATCTTATTTGCCCAGCTGATCCAATGCACTGTGGTCAGGAGTGGAGTCACATGGTACGGATACAAGTCCTGGAAACAAACCTCCATCAAAAGGGAAGGACATTCTCATATAGGTAGGCCGTGGGTCTAACACTGCTCCAAAAGTTATCTACAACTTATAATAATTCTATATTGAATGCTCCTAAAAGGATTGTGGGAGTGTAACATGACACTGTTACCTTTTGCACAATGCAAACCTAAATTTGCTGAGGTTGTTTTCTATAGCTTTTATTTATCTCTATATTTTGTGAGTGTTTCTTGAGATGTCCAAGAAGGTGTATTTCTCCACGAAAAGCAGAACGGTGGACTGGGACATGGAACTGGAGTCAATGTGAATATTTTTTATTTTTCTTTCTTCCTTCTCCTCTGATGGTCACCAGCCCCAGTTAGGCAAAGCAGATTAATTATACTAGGGGTTAAGTGTGATACAATGGTTATACAGGATTGAAAATCATTCCTTTGATAGTCCGTTCCTCACTGTGGTCTGCACATAAGTTAGTTTCAATGAGATCCTGATGTTCATATGTAAGGAGAGCCTGTAAGTGCCTGAAATTTCTTCTAACATATTTTTATCATGGAGATATGATGTAGCTGGTAGTATAAAGAAGCCCCTGAGCTTTGTTTTATTTATTCGTTATTTTTATTCTTAAATTTTTCAAATTCCCTATATCAAAGCTGTTTAGCAGGTTATCAGAAAATGGAATTATTAGTAACTCGAGTTACTTTGTGAAAATTCTTAAGAAATAACTTCATTCCAACATTTCCATAGATTTGTTAGCATGTAGACTTAAAAAATAATAATTCCAAATCACATCTAAATTAATTCAAATTTGTATTTATGAAGGTAACTCTAACTGCTGTAATAAATTCTCAAACATCAGTGGCTTATTACTTGCTCACTTAAAGTCCAAAATCGGTTTTCTTGATTGGCAGATGGCTCTTCTCCATGATTAGGGAGCTGATACCTTTCCATCCTGTGGCTCTACCGCGTTCCACACACAGCTTCTACAGTCACTGAAAAAATAACACAGAGAATTGCAAATGGGAAGTTTTTATGGGCCAAGCCTAGAAACGGCACAAATCACTTCCACTTATATATATTCAACTGGCAGAAGCCATTCCCACAGCTGGGCATAATTACTAGCATGGCTGCACTTTGCTCAAGAGGAAGAGGAAATGAGAGTGATGAAAATCCAGCTAGTCTCCTTCACAAAACTCTTGGTAAAGTCTCTTAGAGTGCTTATTCTTGACATGAGTAACAATAAAAAGGCATAAGTTTATTTAATGTAAGCTAATTTGAAAATCATTCAGCAACATTAAAATCCAGTGTATAAATTACAACAACAAAATGCATCTGATGCTATTTTGTTGTCTATAATACAAATAAGCATTAAGTAGCCTAAAATGCACACACATACACACACACCCCCCACTTTGACATTTAGTTGAGAATTGGGTTTCAAACTATTAGGTTGTGTATGAGTATCCAAAAAGAAATATATATAATTTAGATATGAGGAAATACTCTGCTATTTTCCTATCAATGCCACCTTTTTAAACAAAATTATTTTCTATGTTCCTTTTTGTATAAATAGAATACTACTAGAATTTGACAATAAAATACTTCATTATTCTTAAATAAAGTGATAGAATTTCCATGTTTATCAGTTTTGGTTACTACTTTACAGATTGGTATATTCCGCTCAAATCTATAATACACATTTTCTTACATGCTTTATATACATTTAGAAAAAATTTCTATCGTTCCAAATTGTTCTTGGCAATTAAACCTTTAGATTTTTCAGCTTCTAGTGGTTCTACTTGTTCTTCTATTTGTAGAAAATTATGGTAAAGAGTTAATTTTGTGGGTTAGGGAAGAGAGTGCAAAATGGTATATATATATTTTTTATCATGTACAGTCCCCTGGGTTGATAATTGTACCTCTCATTACAGTCTCTAGAGGAAATGTTTATGGTTTGAATCCTAGAAAAAGCTGTCATATGAAATCAGAACACCCAAGGAATAACACAATACCACAGAGTTAATATGATTGATGATATCATAGCTCATTTTTAACAGATGTCAAAAAAAGAAAAATCAAGCTGCCATTCCACATACTAAGCCCTTGTTCCCTTTACAGAAGACCTTTATAAGTAAATCATTATTAATGGTAAGTATTCAGTGGGTTAGGAGATGGGCATTTGGATTACTTTTAGACTTTCAAAAGAAAAACCATATGATAAAAATAAGAATTTCTAGAAAAGATACTTACATATACTTTTAATTCCCTGGTGCTATATTTGACCAAATATTTAATTTGGCATTGGTGAATGGATTCTAGTTAGGAAAAGTTTCTTTTTAGAAATACAACCACATTTGTGGAACTCAAAAATCTCATATATATTCAGTCTTAAAACAAGTTCTTCAATAACTGCCAAAGGAAATCCCACTTCCAGCTGCGTACTGACTGGGAGAGAGAGAGTCAGTGGTACTTTTTAATGATATATGCATGTAAAAATAACCTGGAGAAAGTAAAGGAAAACAATTGTATCTTAATTTTGTTAAAAAGTATCAGTAGTTTCTTTGCTGAATCCAACCTTCTACTGAACCAGATTATTATTTTCTCTAAGCACATTGTAGTGTGTGTTGACCATCTCCAAGAGAGGATAAGGAAGTTGGCTAACTGGTAGAATTATCCATGAGACACATGGATTAGCACCCATGTAATGTCCTTCTCCTGAGTAGCCCTTCCCCACTTTTGGAGATACGGACAAGGATAGTATATAACATGATTCCTACTCTAAAGTGATCCTGGGGAGGCAAGACACTGTGGCTCACACCTGTAATCCTAGCACTTAGAGAGGCCAAGGCGAGCAGATCACTTGAGGCCAGGAGTTTGATCCCAGCCTGGGCAACATAGGGAGAACTCTGTCTCTATAAAAACAACAAGAAGATTTCTTTTTTTTTTTCCTTCGAGACAGAGTCTCACTCTGTCGCCCAGGCTGGAATGCAGTGGCGAGATCTTGGCTCACTGCAACCTCTGCCTCCCGGGTTCAAGCAATTCTCCTGCCTCAGCCTCCTGAGTAGCTGGGATTACAGGCGCCTGCCACCACACCCAGCTAATTTTTGTATTTTCAGTAGAGACGAGGATTCATCATGTTGGTCAGGCTGGTCTCGAACCCTTGACCTCGTGATCCACCCGCCTCGGCCTCCCAAAGTGCTAGGATTACAGGCGTGAGCCACCGCGCCCGGCCCAACGACAAGATTTTTAAAAAAATTAGCCAGGTGTGGTGATGCACCTGAAGTCCCAAGCTACTTGGGAGACTGAGGTGGGAGGATCACTTGAGCCCACGGGTCCAGGACTGCAGTGAAGTCTGATGGCATCATGGTACTCCAGCTTGGGCAACAGAGTAAGACCCTGTCTTTAAAGAAAAAATTCTAAGGAAGTAAGAAATCTTATACCTGGTAAAGGGCACTAGTTCCTCCTTAATCAAGCATCTGAGCAATTTCTTAGGTCTGAAGCATCATCTCCTCCCAGGTTTGATGCTTATTAATGAATTTTCAGGCCCATGAAGGTTGGGTATGCTGAGAGCATGAATGTATATCTCCCATTTCAATTTAAAATAAAAAACTCAGAAATTGTGTTTTTGTTAAACACACATAATCAGACACATACACACACAACACACACATACACACACTCAGAAAGAACTTTGTTTTTTTTTTTTTTATTTTTGAAGTACCAGTAGAATACACAGTACTACTAAGCCAGATAGTAATTAATTTAGATGAACAAAGGGGAATAAAAGCACTTTTGGCATTATGTCTCATTTTAAGTTGAAAATAGCATAACAAACATAATGTAATTCTGAAAATTTTTTCAACACTTGAATAGCTAACTCAAGTTCATTTATACTTTTAATTTTGTGATTTTGACAGTCTTTAGCAGGGGTCAGCAAGATTTTTTTTCTGAAGGACCAGTACATGTTATAGATTTTGCAGGCCATAGGTTTTTGTTTCAACTACTTAAGTGTGCTATCGTAGCAAGAAAGCCATAGACAACACATAGATAAACAAACAGGACTGTGCTCTAATAAAACCACATTTATTAAAACAACAGTGGGTCAGATATGGTCCTTGGGCCATAGTTTGTCAACCTTTTGTCTTTCTCAACCTTCATATCACATATTAACTATTATTCCTTTTCTCACAGAGTTTCTTAGAGATTATTCTCAAATAACTCATAGTTTTAGCTTTCGAAATAATGGACATAAAATATGTTTTTCTCCATTTGTTATGAAGAATTTGACCCACGTGCTAGACTGAACAAACCACAAGCCCATAATCTTCCCCTGGGCCTTGTTGTGGACAGTGAGGGCCTGTAGGAATTGGGATATGAGTTCATCTGTCAACTTACAGCTAAAGAATTTAAAGCAAGAACAAGGAGTTTTGGTTCCACAAGATGCTCTGTTTAAAAGGACATTGTTGAGAGGCTTACTGTTCAGCACTACTGGGACAGTCTTGAAAAAATGACCTACTTTCCCTCAGCAAAGCCAACTCTGAAAGAGGATGATGTCTACAAATGAGGTCTCATAAAAGAATATAATTAAACACTGATGCTCTTCAGAGTGAAAGAGCTTTGAGATAATGACTACAGTGGCACACACTGTACCAAAGAGAACAAGATGTCACAATTATATATTTGCAGGTTGATTTAATCTGACAGGATTCTTAGCAACAGTGAACTTGGTCTGTCTGTGCATAACAACACAGCTTATGTGTCCTACAAATGAAGCTCTGTTTATCTTTTCTAAACTTACACGTGTCAATTAGCAAACTTCTTAATCTAGCTGGACATTCTTATCAGTGGAGGTCCAGTTATGTCTTCATTTTCTTTGGCACAGTATGTGTAAATCACCCCTTTTATCTAAATAAAGTCTTTAAAAAATTCTCTGTATAGATTTTTTTCATTATTTGATTTTTGAATGATATTCTCTCACTGCAAAGTCTTAATTATCCTATTTTTTCAAGTATCCTTAACAGCTAAATTAGCAGCTAGTAGATTTAGGTTGTCCCTCACAGTTAACCCAGGACCGAGAGAAATAGACTACATAGGGTTTTGCAAACTACAACACTTGGGTCAAATCCATCCCACCACTTATTTTTGTATGACCCGTGAGCTAAGAATGACTTTACATTTTTAAATGACTGAAAAACAATCAAAAGGAAAATAATATTTTTTGACTCATGCAACTTACATGCAATTCAAATTTCAATGTCCACAAATAAAGTTATATTGAAACACAAGCATGTTCATTTTTTTAATATATGGTCTGTTGGTGCTGCTTTTGTGCTATAACAGCAGTGTTGAGTAGCTGCAACAGAGACTGTATGACCAGTAAAGCCTAAAATATTTACTTTCTGGACTTTTATAGAAAAAGCTTGTCAACCTATGGACTACATGATCCTTTACATTTCCCTTCCAACTTTTTTTTTAAGGTGATTGTTATCTCCTTCCTTTTTCTTTTTCATTCTTTCTTTCTTTTGTTCTTTCTTTCTTTCTTTCTTTCTTTTTTTTGTTTTTTTGTTTTTTGTCTCACTCTTGCTGCCCAGGCTGGAGTGCAATGGTGCGATCCAGGCTCACTGCAACCTCCGCCTCCCGGGTTTAAGCAATTCTCCTGCCTCAGCCTGCCGAGTAGCTGGGATTACAGATGCCCACCACCTTGCCCGGCTAATTTTTGCATTTTTAGTAGACACGGGTTCCACCGTGTTGGCCAGGCTGGTGTCAAACTCCTGACCTCAGGAGATCCATTCCCCTTGGCTTCCCAAAGTGCTGGGATTACAGGCGTGAGCCACCATGCCTGGCCGTCCTTCCCTTTTCAATTCCCACTTTCACCTTCACTTTGGAGTTTTGGAAGTATTCCAGGATAGCGGTGGGAGCTCAGCCCTAGAGGCCCACTTTTGTGTATGACAGTGACAGTGCACCTTAATATATTTTTATCTCCACCTTATGAAATATAGAAGTCAGCCTAGATACTCATTAATCAAAATGCCCAACAGTTCTATAGTGCTTTAAAATTTATAAAGTGCTGTCACATGCACTGTCTCATTGAGCTTACATACTGGTACTATTTCCTTTACTCGAAAGATATGAAACCTGAGGTTCAGATACGTTAAGGGACTTCCCCAAAATTATTTAACTCTAAAGGCAGAGCAAGATGGAAGCTTATACCATTCATTGCCCACCCCCACCCTCACTGCCACCGCTGGAAGACCAAATTGTAGCCACTAACAGCATAGAGAAAAGCACCATCACTAGAACCAAAAATCAGGCGAGTAATCACAGCACCTGGATTTAACTTCATATCATGGAGAAAGGCATTAAAGAGGGCAGGAGAGATAGTCTTGAATTGCCAGTGGCACTACTCCCCCATTCCCTGCCAGCAGCCATGCAGCATGGAGAGAGATCTGTGCACTTTGGGGAGAAAGCTTGCAATGCCTGGGGGACTTTACATTGAACTCAGTGCCGTCCCGTCATGGCAAAGAATAAAGCCATGCTGGTGTCCTCCAGCGCCTGCACACAGAGGGAGCATTCGAACCAGCCCTAGCCAGAGGTGACTTCTTCAGCCTAGTGGTCGGAACTTGAGTTTCTTGGCAAGCCTCACCACTGTGGGATGAAGTGCTCTGGGGTCATAGGTAAACGTGGAAGGCAGTCTTGGACACAAGGACTGCAATTCCTAGGCAATTCCTAGTGCTAGGCTGGGTTCAGAGCCAGTGAACTAGGGTGGCATGTGACCTAGCAAGACACAAGCTGGTGCAGCTAAGGGAATGCTTGCACCATCCCTCCCCGAACCTGAGGCAACACAGCTGGCAGCAACAAAAGTGTCCCCTTCTTTCTGCTCAAGAAGAGGAGACCTAAGAGTCAAGAGGATGTTGTCTTGAACCTTAGATACCAGCCACAGTAGGATAGGGCACTGGGCAAAGTCATTAGGCCCCCAGTCCAGACCCTAGCTCCCGGATGACATTTCTAGACACACCTTGGGCCAAAAGGGAACCTGCTGTCTTGAAGGGAAGGGCCCAGTCCTGGCAGGATTCATCACCTGCTGACTAAAAAGCCCTTGGGCTCTGATTAAACAGCAGCAATACCCAGGTAGTACACCATGGGCCTTGGGCTCTGAGACATGCTGGCTTTGGGGTGACCCAGCACATTCCCAGCTGTGGTGGCTACAGTGAAAGATTCCTTCTGTTTGAGACAAGCAGAGGGAAAAGTAAATGGGACTTTGTCTTGCACCCTAGGTACCAGCTCAACCACAGTTGAGTAGAGCAAAAGTAGGCTCTTGGGGTCCCCAAGTCCAGGCCTAGGCTCTTGCATGGCATTTTTGGACCTGCCCTGGGCCAGAGAGGAGTCCACTGCCCTGAAGAGTGAGTCCCAAGCTTGTCAGCATTCACCATAAGCTGATGGATGAGCCCTTGGGCTTTAAGTGAACATCAGAAGTGGCCTGGCAGAACACCCAATGGACCAGTGGTGGTGTTGACCACAGGGAGAGGATCTTCTGCCTATGGAAAGGGGAGGGAAGAGTGAGAAGAACTTTATATTGTGGTTTGAGCTTAGCTGCAGTAGAATAGAATATCAGGTAAATTGCAAAGGTATTTCACTCTAATCCTTGGCTCTCAGATAGCATCTCTGGACTTACCCAGGGCCTGAAGAAACTCACTGCCCTAAAGGGAAGGGCCTTGGGCAAGGCCCAGTGCTGTGCTGGCTTCAGGTCTCACCCATTGCAGTCACAGTGGTGGTGGTCACAGGGGTGCTTGCATCACCATATTCCAGTTCCAGGTGGCTCAGAACAGAGAGAGAGAGACTCCATTTGTTTGGGTGAAAGTAAGGGAAAAGAACAAGAGTCTCTGCCTGATAACCCAGATAATTCTTCCAGTATTATCCAAGACCACCAAGGCAGTATCTCTATGAGTGTGCCAAAGCCATGGCATTATAGGGGTTGGGGCCCAAGTTCCTTTGAATACCTAGAAAGCCTTCCCAAGAAGGATGGGCACAAACAAACCCAGACTGCAAAGTCTATAATAAATACCTAAGTCTTCAATACTCAGACACCAACCGATATCTACAATCATCAACACCATCCAGAAAAACACGATCTCACCAAATGAACTAAATAGGGCACCAGGGACCAATCCTGGTGAGATAGAGATATATGACCTCTCAGACAAAAAATTAAAAATAGCTGATTTGAAGAAATTCACGATAACACAAAGAAGGAATTCAGAATTCTATCAGATAAACTTAACAAAGAGATTTAAAAAAAAAAAAAGAAGAAGTGAAAATTCTAGTGTTAAAGAATGCAACCAACATGCTGAAGAATGCGTTGATAGTCTCTTGATAGCAGAATTCACCAAGCAGAAGAAAGAATTAGTGAACTTGAAGACTGGCAATTTGAAAATACATGGTCAGAGGAGACAAAAGAAAAAAGAATAAAAAACAATGAAATATGCCTACAGGATCTAGAAAATAGTCTCAAAAGGGCAAATCCAAGAGTTACTGGTCTTAAAGAAGAGTTAGAGAAAGTGATAGGGGTAGAAAGTTTATTCAAAAGGCTAATATCAAAGAACTTCCCAAACCAAGAAAAAGATATCAATATCCAAGTACAAGAAAGTTAGAGAACATCAAGTAGATTTAACCCAAAGAAGACTCTTAGGTCTCCTATTCTTGAGCAGAAAGAAGGAGACAAGTTTGTTGCTGCCAGCTGTGTTGCCTCAGGTTGGGGGAAGGATGGTACAAGCACTCCCTTAGCTGCACCAGCTTGTGTCTCACTAGGTCACATGCCACCCTAGTTCACTGGCTCTGAACCCAGCCTAGCACTAGGAATTGCCTAGGAATTGCAGTCCTTGTGTCCAAGACTGCCTTTCACATTTACCTATGACCCCAGATCACTTCATCCCACAGTGGTGAGGCTTGCCAAGAAACTCAAGCAGGAGGACAAGGTTAGTATAGAGCTTTTATTAGTTTCTTTTTGAAGAGAAGACTGTGAAAAATCCAGAAAACAAATAACAAAATGGCAGGAGTAAGTCCCAACTTATCAATAATAACATTTAATATAAATGGACTAAACTCTCAAATTAAAAGACATAGAGTGGCTGAATGGATGAAAAAACACGACCCCATGATCTGTGGCCTACAAGAAGCACACTTCACCTATAAAGATACACATAGACTGATAACAGAGAGATAGCAAGAAATATTCCATGCCAATGGAAACAAAAAGAGAGCAGGAGTAGCTATACTTATTTCAGACAAAATGGTTTTCAAAAATACATCTTTAAGAAGAGACAAAGAAGATTGGTATATAGTGATAAAGGGGTCAATTCAAAAAAGGATCTAATGATTGTAAATAGGTATGCACCGAACACTTGGAGCACGCAGATATATAAAATAAATTATTAGAGCTAAAGAGAGAGATAGACCTCAATGCGATACAATAGCTGGAGACTTCAACATTCCACTTTTAGCAATGGACAGATCTCCCTTAAAGAAAATAGACAAAGAAGCATCATACTTAGTCTGCACTATGGAACAAAAAACTTAATAGATATTTAGAGAACATTTCATCCAACAGCTGTATAATATACATTCTTATCAGCACATGGATCATTCTCAAGGATAGACCATATGTTATGTCACAAAACAAGTATTAAAACATTCAAAATTTGAAATAATATTAAGCATCTTCTCTGGCCACAGTGGAATAAAACTAGAAATCAATAACAACGGTAATTTTAGAAAATACAGAAACACATGGAAATTAAACAGCATGCTCCTGAATGACTAATGAGTCAATGAAAAAATTAAAAAGAAAATTGAAAATTTTCCTGAAACAGATGATAATGGAAACACAACATACCAAAGCCTATGGGATACAGTGAAGGCAATACTAAAAGGGAAATTTATAGCTATAAGTCCTTACATCAAAAACAAAGAAAAACGTCAAATAAATAACCTAATGATACATCTTAAAGAACTAGAAAAGCAATAGCAAACCTAATGAAAAATTAGTAGAGGAAAAGAAATAATACAAATCAGAGCAGAAATAAATGAATTTAAATAAAGAAAACAATACAAAAGATGAATGAAACAGAAAGGTGATGTTTTGAAAAGTTAGACAAAGTAGACAAGCTTTAGCCAGAGTAGGAAAATTAGAGAGAATTCCCAAATAAATAAAATCAGAGATGAAAAAGGAGATATTACAACTCATATCACAGAAATTTAAAGGATTATTAGTGGCTACTATAAACAACTATATGCCTACAATTTAGAAAATCTAAAGAAATGGATACATTCTTAGACACACTTAACCTACCAAGATTGAACCATGAAGAAATCCAAAACCTGAACAGACCAATAACAAGTAATGAAATTGAAGCTGTAATAATAAGTCTCCCAGCACAGAAAAACGCAGGACCCAATGGCTTCACTGCCATTTAAAGAAGAACTAATACTCGTCCTACTCAAACTGTTCTGAAAAACAGAGGAGGAGAAAATACTTCCAAACTCATTCAACAAAGCCAGTATTGCCTTGATACAAAAACCAGACAAAGACATATCAATAAAAAGAAAACTATAGGCCAATATCTCTGATTTACATATTGTTGCAAAAATCCTCAACAAAATATTGGCAAACCAAATTCAACAACACATTAAAAAGATCATTCATCATGGCCAAATCAGATTTATCCCAGGGATGCAAGGATGGTTCAACATGCATCAATGAATGTGATACATTATATCAACAGAATGTAGGGCAAAAACCATATAATCATTTTGATTAATGCTGAAAAAACGTTTGATAAAGTTGAGCATCCCTTCATGATAAACATTCTCAAAAAGCTGGGTATAGAATGAGCATACCTCAACGTAATAAAAGCCTTATATGACAAACCCACAGCTAGTATCATACTGAATGGGGAAAAACTGAAAACCTTTTATCTTATATCTGGAGCATGACAAGGATGCCCACTGTCAAGACTGTTATTCAACATAGTAGTGGAAGTCCTAGCTAGAGCAATCAGACAAGAGAAAGATATAAAGGCCATCCAAATTGGAAATGAAGAAGTCAAATTATCTGTATTTGCAGATGATATAATCTTATATTTGGAAAAACCTAAAGATGCCACCAAAAACTATTAAAATTGATAAAGAAATTCAGTAAAGTTGCAGGATACAAAATCAATATGCAAAAATCAGTAGTATTTCTATATACTAACAGTGAACAACCTGAAAAAGAAATAAAAAATACTCTCATTTACCATAGCCACAATAAAATCAAATACCTAGGAATTCACTTAACCAAGGAGGTGAGAGATCTGTACAATGAAAGCTATGAAATGCTGATGAAAGAAATTGAACAGAACACACACACACACACACACACACACACACACACACAATGGAAAGATATTCCATGTTCATGAATTGGAAGAATCATTATTATTAAAATGTCCATACTACCCAAAGCAATCTATAGATTCAGTGCAATTCCTATCCAAATACCAATGACGTTCTTCCCAGAAATAGAAAAAACAATCCTAAAATTTATATGGAATCACAAAAGATCCAGAATAGCCAATATTATCCTGAGCAAAAAGAAAAAAAAAAGTGGAAGAATCACATTGCCTGACCTCAAATTATACTACAGAGCTCTGGAAAAACAACCAACCAGTATGGTACTGGCATAAAAACAGACTCACAGGCCGGGCGCGGTGGCTCACGCCTGTAATCCCAGCACTTTGGGAGGCCGAGGCGGGTGGATCACGAGGTCAGGAGATCGAGACCATCCTGGCTAACACGGTGAAACCCCGTCTCTACTAAAAATACAAAAAATTAGCCGGGCGAGGTGGCGGGCGCCTGTAGTCCCAGCTACTCGGGAGGCTGAGGCAGGAGAATGGCGTGAACCCCAGGGGGCGGAGCCTGCAGTGAGCCGAGATCGCGCCACTGCACTCCAGCCTGGGCGACAGCGAGACTCCGTCTCAAAAAAAAAAAAAAAAAAAAAAAAAAAACAGACTCACAGACCAATGGAACAGAATAGAGAACCTGAAAATGAATCCACACACCTACAGTAAGCTCATTTTTGACAAAGGTGCGAAGAATATACATTTGGGAAAAGACAGTCTCTTCAATAAATGGTCCAGAGAAAACTGGATATCCATATGCAGAAGAATGAAGCTAGACCCCTATCTCTTGCCTTATAAAAAATCAAATCAGAATGTATTAAAAACTTAATCTAAGACCTCAAACTATAAAACTACCACAAGAAATCATTGGGGAAACTCTCCAGGACGTTGATCTGGGCAAAAATTTCTTCAGTAATACCCACAAGCACAGACAACCAAAGCATAAATGAACAAATTGGATCACATCAAGTTAAAAAGCTTCTGCACAACAAAGGAATCAATAAAGAGAAGAGACAACCCACAGAATGGGAGAAAATATTTGCAAACTACCCATCTGACAAGGGATGAATAACCAGAATATATAAGGAACTCAAAAACTCTATAGGAAAATATCTAGTAATCTAATTTAAAATCCTGGGCAAAAGATTTGAATAGTCATTTCTTAAAAGAAGGCATACAAATGGCAAACAGGCATATGAAAAGGTGTTCAACGTCATTGATCATAAGAGAAATGCAAATCAAAACTACAAAGAGCTATCATCTCACCCAGTTAAAATGGCTTTTATCCAAAAGTCAGGTAATAACAAATGCTGGCCAGGATGCAGAGAAAAGGGAACCCCTGTGTATTGTTGGTGGGAATGTAATTAGTACAAACACTATGGAGAACAGTTTGGGGGTTCCTAAAAAAATTTAAAAATAGAGCTACCATATGATCCAACCATCCCACTACTAGATATATACCCTAAAGAAATTAAATCAGTGTATCAAAGAGATATCTGCATTCCCATATTCGTTGCAGCACTCTTCACAATAGCCAAGAAGTGGAAGTAACCTAAGCATCCATCAACAGATGAATGGATAAAGAAAATGTGGTACTTAAACACAATGGAGTACTTACTATTCAGCCATAAAAAGAATGAGATTCTATCATTTGCAACAACATAGATGGAATTGGACATCATCATGTTAAGTTAAAATAGCCAGGCACAGAAAAACAAACATTGCATGTACTCACCTATTTGTGGGATCTAAAAATCGAAACAATTGAACTCATGGAGATAGAGAACAGAAGGATGGCTACCAGAGGCTGGGAAGGGTAGGACGGGGTTTAGGGGTTTGGGGGAGGATAGAAAGAATAAATAAAACCTAATACTTGATAGCACAACAGAGGGACTATAGCCAACAATAATTTAATTGTACATTCTAAAATAACTAAAAGAGTATAATTGGAACGCAAAACACAGGATAAATGCTTGAGTGGATGGATACCCAATTTTCCATGATGTGATTATTACGCATTGCATGCCTGTACCAAAATATCTTATATATCCAATAAATATATACACCTACCATATACCCACAAAAATCAAAAACTACAAAAAAATTATATAACCAATAAGTGGTTGAGAGTGGATTCTAAATCGGATTCCAAGCCTTATGTTATTTCTGCATTACCACTCTGACTCAGAAAGTGCTACCAACAAAAATTTTGTGACAGTTATTCTTGTTTTGAAATCATGCACAAAACTCCTGTGAAATGGACCTGAAGAAAACTTCTCCCATCCCTATCACCCCAACATAAAACAAGTAAGAACTGTAGGCTGGGCTTCCTTTCTTCACATTGAGTAGAATAGAGCAATGATGTTGTACACTTTCACAGCCACAGTCATTCATACGTCAAAGAAGGAGAATTAGCAACACTCGAAACTTATAGTTTTGATCTTTATAAGATTTAGGGTGTAAAATAACCAGCCTCTTTCATTTCATCTTTGGCCCCATAATACCACTCCTGAACAGAAGTCAGAGTGAGCTTTTAAAAATCCAAATCATATCGTTAAAATAAATCCAAATTCTTGCAAGACTGTATTTTGTCTTTCCCTCTCACCCCACCCTGTTCTCTCCAACTCATTTACCACTTTCTTTATAATTCAACCTACTCTTAATACAATGGTCTTCTGTATTCCCTGATAATGACAGCTCATTTCTTTGGTTTTTTTTTTTTTGTTGTTTGTTTGTTTTTTTTGAGACAGAGTCTTGCTCTGTCGCCCAGGCTGGAGTGCAGTGGTGCGATCTCGGCTCACTGCAAGCTCCGCCTCCCGGGTTCATGCCATTCTCCTGCCTCAGCCTCCCAAGCAGCTGGGACTACAGGCGCCCGCCACCAGGCCTGGCTAATTTTTTGTATTTTTAGTAGAGACGGGGTTTCACTGTGTTAGCCAGGATGGTCTCGATCTCCTGACCTCGTGATCCACCCGCCTCGACCTCCCGAAGTGCTGGGATTACAGGCGTGAGCCACCGCATCCGCCCCATGACAGCTCATTTCTATGTTTCCCTTTTCATGGCCCTGGGCATTATCACTTGAGACCTCAGAACTGACTTCTTCCCATCATCACACCTCTACTCAAATGACAACTTGTCTTCAAAACTGTTCTTGACCACCTGCACCCATGTCTCTCTATCCTAGCACTCTGGCTTGTTTCTTATTAGAACCATCTCTCTCTAAAATTATATCATTCATTTATTGGTACAGTTCTTTAATATCTATCTCCCTCCACTTGTGTGTAAAGTCTTTTGGCACAAAGACCTTGCCTATCTTTTTCATTAACATATAGAGTACTGCATGGCACATGATACACAAATACATCAATGCTGCATGGAGAAATGTATAAATGTGTGTGGCCTTTGAAATAAAATGTCCCCTTTTTCTGATATAGCCTAGTTGCTAAGGCAAGGAATGTGACTTCAACTACAGGGTGTAATATGAAAGATCTGTCAATAGTGGTATAAGAAATATGTGGAATAATGTAAGAAATGTAATCATGAGCTCTATCTGGAAATAAATAATAATAATTTCTAATGTCTGCAGGGATGCAAACTGCTTATGGACACTATACACATTTTCACTTGTAAACATATTATTTCCACACTTTCCACTTGAACCCTCAGCTTTTCAGTGTTGTGGCATCTTGTGATTTCAGAGCACCTGGGGATTATTAGGTGTCTAAGCTTCTAAGCTGTCACTTTTTGAAGCCAAAGCATGGAATTATCTGAGCAGAAAGCTAAGAAGTCCTATTTAATCAGCTACTTCTGTGGTTAAACTCCTTCAAGGCAAACACATTTTGACTGGCCCAAAATATTAATAATAGCCACTCTGAGTATATTAACTCTTCAGAGTCATCAGTGGCAAGTGGAAGTATTTTAAATTCTGTTTTTCTTGTGCGTGTGTGTTTGTGTGTGTGTGTGTGCATGCGCACGTGCGCAGATTAAAAATTCATACTTTAAATGACAGCATTGTTAAATAAATTGAAGCCCTTGAAGCTGGTTATTAGAAGAGCCAGAACTGAATGGAGCAAGCTCATTTATAAAACTACCTTTTATTTTAAAAAAATACAGTGATCAAATTCTGTGATAGTAAAGAGGAGGGGTGTTGTTTGGTAATATGTGGCATAGTTCTAAGGTGTATATGAGGCTAGAATTGAATTATACTGGAGACATGGTGATTTAATGAACCATGGAAAGCACATTTACTTCAAGGGGACAAAATGTGCTCAGCATATTTCATCAGGAACCTTAGAAGGGATACTTTTGAAAATAATCCAAATTGATTACCACAGTGGGATCAGGTTAGAGAGGAGAGGTGTGTGTTTGAAACACTCAATTTGGAGTTGATTGCTAAGAAAAGCTTCAGTTTGCGAGATTTTATATATCTTTCTGTTGGGATTAGTCTAAGGCATAACTGTGAATTTAGTCTTGGAAATATTTCCTACATTCTCTTCCTATGCCCCGATTTTGTCTTTGGTAACACTCACACTCGCCCCATCCATATCATCCATATATTTATTATTTACCTACTAATCTTTGACCATATCTCATTTGTGCCTTTGTTTTCCATTATTATTCTTCCTTCTTCTACCATCAAAATTTCCCATCCCATAGTACCTGGAACTTGAGCATTTCCATGGTTCACCGAAATCAAGTACTTATTTTTATCAAAAATCATTTCTTAAGTGCATGTGCATAAGAGTGTACCAGGTATCACATATGGAATAGAGAATCATCAGACACACGACCTTCTTTCATGTTACTTAAAAGTCATTGCTAATTGTCCTGGAAGAGGTAATACAGTTCACGTGAATAAGTAAATGGCTTATAACAAACAGCAGCATATTAAAATACATGTATATATATAGGCATGGAGTTTTAAAAGAAATAAATGGTTCTTCAATGGAAAAAGTTGAGCTTCTTTTTGTGTGTGTGTGCGTGTGTGTAACAGAGTCTTGCTCTGTCACCCAGGCTGGAGTGAAATGGCGTGATCTCAGCTCACTACAACCTCTGCCTTCCGGGTTCAAGCAATTCTCCTGCCTCAGCCTCCTGAGTGGCTGGGATTACAGGTACATGCCACCATGCCCAGCTAATTTTTGTATTTTTAGTAGAGACAAGGTTTCACCATGTTGGTCAGGCTGGTCTCAAACTCCTGACCTCATGATCTGCCCGCCTCGGTCTCCCAAAGTGCTGGGATTACAGGCGTAAACCACTGCACCTGGCCAAAAGTTGAGATTCTGTTACATGCAAGTGGACATACTATTCTGGGGAAAGAGAGAATTTTCGCACTAGTTGCAAGTATTGTACAGATATTTGCCTCATCCTGCTTATGTGTGGACTGACTATAATACTAAAAAACCAAATTAAAGTTACTGTAACTAGAGGTGGTAACTGGATAATGGCCTTCCCCTGACAACTGAATGCCTGGGCTCAGGTATTTATGCACAAAGTAGAAGGCCTTTTTAAGTAGCAGGAATCCAATTTCATTGTCATTAGTACCATTGTGCCAAATGACTTGTAAAATAAAGTAAATGAGATCTACAGCACCTAGCAAGCTAAGACAACCCCCAATTCATCATTGCCCTGCAAAACTGCACTCTGATGGTCTCAAAATGAGGGTGAGAGAGAGGATTAGTTCTGACCTTCCACTGATCAGAACAAAGTGTTATTCTTGATCTCACTTCACTGGTTTCTGACTAGCATAGCATTTTTTTGTATTGTCTTATTTTTCTCTCTTCATAAATCAAAGTTAGCATCCAAAGAGTCACAGGATCTGCTGTCTTGCTGGAGTTTTACACCAAAAACTCCTTTAGTGATTATTAGAGTGATGTGTACCTGAATAAATAGGTATATATTAGGCTCCAGGTGGAAACTGTTAATTTCATACCAACTCCAGAGAAACACATAGCAATGGGTCTTGGGCAGAGTTTGAGAAATGTGTCACCCACTCATCACTGTATAACTTCATATTCCATATTCACCTTGTATGACTGGCACATTATGTCAGAAAAATAGCAAGTTTAAGTAAGTGAGGAGAGAAATTCACAGGACAGTTTTTTTATATATACACTATACATATATAATATATACAACATATATATGTGTTAACACACACAAAATGTTAAGAAACTCCAATGATAGGTCTTGACCTGACTTCCACAAAAGCGCCTTTAAGATGTTTGAAATAGCCCCTTCACCTTTCTTTCATGGTGTGAACCTGAAAAAAGTATGTAGTCTGTGCATAGGATCCAAAGCATATATAATATTATTTTCGTAATAGCACCAAATGCTGCTGGGATTATTTAAAGTCACTCAAATATGTAAAGCAAGCAAAACTTAAACATTACAGTACAATTTTATTACCCACCTTGGCATGAAGCCACAGTAGTTCTTGTTTAGGGAAATTGACTTATCATTACAAAGTAGCCATGTTACTGATACTGCCAAGAATGAATTCATTCTTCCCCACAGCATCTGAATTTGGGCTGAATTACACCTACATCCTGTGTGATCTAGTTGAAAAGGTAGAGGCTTTGGATTTAGACAAATCTGATTGTGAATTTGGGCTGAATTATACCTACATCCAGTGTGATTTAGTTGAAAAAGTAGAAGCTTTGGATTTAGACAAATCTGATTGTGAGACCAGTCATGTGTGACTGGTTTGTGTTGAGTTGTTTACTATTTCAGTGACTTGGGCAAGTTACCTAAAATCACTGATCCTCAGAATTCCCATCTATAATAGTAATAATATTTAGATATTTAGGGGTTCTTATTCTAGGGGTTCATTATATACCAGGCAATGTGCTAAGTACTTTACATACAATGTGTCAATTAGTATTCACAATAACACCAGGTATTAGCCACCATTTATATTTTAGGACACTGATATTCAAAAGGGTTAATTACCTTGAATAGTTTTACAACAGGTGTGACTCCAAAGCCTGTGCCCTACCCATTACTGTCAGGGAATTAGGGAGAAAGCGACTCACAAGCACTCCCTGAATGGCCTCCGCAATGGGTTGTTGACTCTTCCACTGCCTCTGCTGCTATTCTTGTGCTGAGCAATAGCCATATAAAGCGAGACTGAGACCTACTTCCTGTGTAACTTCATTCCCTTCCCTGCTCTTGTTGGTTGCCATGATTGTTTTGCAAACTACAAAATCTGGATGCTGAGTTTTTCTTGCCTGAATTTCTTGGCTTAGGCTAAAACTAAGTTGTGTCTTCATTGTTTGTGAGTTCTGAACCACTGCACCTTGACCTTTAGCTCTACCCTACTGGAGTCAAGAATTCTTGTCTATCTACATACCATAAAACTGTTAGTGCTCCGTCTCCATTTGATGAAGTTGAGTACCCTCAACTTTAAAGTTTGTAAAGTTTTTTTAAATCTCCCCATACCTTCCTGCTTTAACTAACTTTTTCTGTTATGAACCTGGTTGGAACTATAACACCTACCTGAATTGCCCTGCCTTTCTAATACGTGTGTGTGTGTGTGTGTGTGTGTGTGTGTGTGAACTCTTATTCCCATCCTCCTCACTTCCACAGCTTCCAAAAAACTGACAGACATAGCAGCCTGCCATGCTGTGTTAATACCCAATCCCAGAGCATATGGTGCCCTACAAAATACCCTAAGGCTTATGAATGGATTATTTTCTTTTCAATCAACAAGTCCTGGTGGTGGCAAACACAATATATCTGTAACATCATTTATGAAGGCCTGTGGAAAGGTAAAAAATAACACAAACAAAAAACACTATTCTCCTTTTTAAAATTATGAACATCTTGAATGTATACAAGAGTTCTTTTTTCTTTGACTTGCTGGTTAAATTGTATTTAAAAGACATTGTGCTATACAAAAAAAATTGCTATCATCCAAATGAAGCATAAAAGCAGGAAAAAAAAAGGCCTTTTATTCCTGTGAAGGTCAAATTGTTTTTTGAAACCACATACCTAAGTGTTATTCAAAACAGACTTCAGGGTCAGTTCAGTTTTGTTTTTTTTTTTCCTCAGTACCAAATATTTCACTGAAAATGTGAAGACAGATTGATAATTCAATGTTTTATTAATTTTATCTAAGAACTCAAGTATAAAGTATCACATTTTTCACAAAAAGCCGGGAGAAGGATCTATGGTACACAGGTCCCCATAATACACACACACTTTTAAAAATCAACCGATTTTTAAAAATCTGTCGAGCACTATTCATGCACAGCCTCTTTTGTGCAAGTCGTCCTCCTGCCTGAATCTGTGGGGATGATGGGTGATGGCTGCAGCCTCAGCCTGTGGAAAACTCCTCCGGGTCACAGATGTCTCAGATGGGAGGGTGGGCAGCTTCTGTACTTGAAATTACAGTTTGAGAAATACAGAAGAATTTACTTGGTAGTTTTTTTCATAATAAATAATCTGAAACCGGTTATTAATTCAAAAGACTATAAATCAAGAAAAGAAACCATAATGCAATGCTAAGCAAATCAGGGACTGAAGGGAGCCAAAATAAGGAAGTTTGAAGCAGACTAAAGGAAAACAGTCCTAGAATTCCAGGAGCAAGAACTCAGGCATGTGTGACTGGTTTGTGTAGAGTTCTGGTGGACTTTGGGATTTTTACGTTGAAGCTAATTAGAGGCCTATAGGAAATAAACATATACCCCAGTGCTAAGCACTGTTGGAAATAGATAAATGCACTATGGGCCTACCTTAAAGAACAGAAAGAGCAAAACCATTCACTTCTATTGCAAATGCCTGTTGGATCAGGGTATTTTTTCCCCCTGCTGAGCCAGAACAGCACCTTCAGATCCTTCTCAACAGGGTACCTCAGGTATTGACTGCCAGTCATTGGAGGTGACATGTCAAGTGAAAGTGACATACCACCTCTACTTAAGACGCTTATACCTAAAAAGAGGAGCAGTACAACATCAGTAAATCACTGCAACCCATAGCAGCACGTGGTAAGTTGTTTGAAAGTAACATAACAGTAAAATATGTTTAGAGAACACTGATTTCTGATCAGGATGACAGCAGAAGGCTTCATAGATGGAGTGGGCTTTGAGCATCCAAACAGTGGCCAGAAAGCATCTCTGAAGCCTAAGGGTAGATGGAAGAGGAGGTAAAAGTTGTTTCGCATGACCATACAATGCTGTATTATTTGGGTTTGAATTTTAGAAGGCTGCTAGAGGTGTTATGTTTTAAATCAAAAGGGAGAAAACTTCCCAATAAATGATGAGGATAATTAAAATATTTGTGTGTCCATGAGAATGATATATAGTCTGAAAATATGGTACTGACAGATGAGCTCCAGAATTTGCTAATTTGCTGTTTCTAAATGTGGGCACTATTATTTATGAGAATACTGATTCTTTTTTATGGTGGTTACATAATCAAGTGTTTCTATGATTTAAAAATAACAAAGTACTGGTCTCATAAAAACAAAATAAATCATATAACTAATTAAATTTATAGTAGATGCTTTATTTGTGGGGCATTTGTGTGTGATCATAACTGAATCATCGGCCTTTCATTTCACATGTGCATGAGTGCACTAGTCACTTAAATGCATTTGTGTTTGAAGTTAAGGAAAAGGTAAGAGCCAATGAAGCCTAAATTCTGAGTTTGTGGGTGGATAAATACATGCATTTGTTCTTTCAAGCATATGATGACTCGTTTTTCAAAATAAGCTTCATATGAAATGGATGAAATTCTCTAATGACCAGAAAACAGTAAATTCCAGAAAATTCTGGTACTTCCTCAAAGTGTCCACTCTTGCTGTTAAGAAAATTCAGTTAGAAAACTTTCTAGGAGCAGACTGAGGCTCAATCCCAGTATACCACTCACAGTTTTAGAAAATATATTTTATTTCTTGTTTTTTGGTTTTCCTCTTTTGTCCATGGGAAAACTATCTGGCGAAAGACTGGAGTCATTCCACGTAGAACAGAGAGTTTTTTGAACTGTAATACACTTGTGGTTTAAACCACATATTGTCGTCGTAAATTATTTCTTAGGGCTGTTTGTTTGTAAATGTGTTAAAGTTGCCATAACAAATACCACAAACTGGGTGGCTTGAAACAACAGAAATTTATTCTCGCACAGTTGTGGAGCCAGAAATCCAAAATCAAAGTGCTGGCAGGATTGGTTTCTTTTGGAGGCTCTGAGAGAGGATCTCTTCCTTGTCTCCTCCAGCTTCTGGTGGCTCCAGGAATTCTTTAGTTTGTGGCAGCATCACTGCAATCTCTGCCCCCATCACAGGGCCTTCTCCTCTGAATCCCATCTTCTCCCCTCCCCTCCCTTCCATTCCCTTCCCTTCCCTTCCCTTCCCCTCCCTCTTCTCTTCTCTCCTCTCCTCCCCTCCCCTCCCCTCCCCTCCTCTTCTCGTCCCTCCCCTCCTCTTCTTGTACACTTGTTGTTGGATTTAGGGTTCACTCTAATCCAGGATAATCATCTCGATATCCTTAACTTTCGCAAAGACTCTTTATTCTAAATGAGGTCACGTGCCCAAATAAGGCTCATTCATAGCTCGTGGGTGGACACATCTTTTGGGGGACCATCAATCAACCCACTGCATTCATTTTCTATTATTTTTCCTGTTATCCACATTGTAGAAATAACTGATTCTGCCCTTTTTAAATAATTTTAATTTAAATAAAAAATAATCTGCGACTCAGCATAGTGAAATTTTATGCTCTTCTTATTTCATATTTTACTCTCCTCTTACTTTGTTTGGCTTTGGTAGTTTGTGTAAATTCTATGCATCTTCCACCTGACAATAGAATTGCTCTAAATCAACCAAAAGCTTAATTTCATTTTATTGTTAAAATTCCTCAAATATCACATTCTATTTGAAAGAAAATAGGAAATAGCCATCTATTTATTTACATTCAATTAATTATTTTCATTATATGTTCTCCCAGAATACAATAATCCATCTATTGTATTGTCGGTAAGTTATGAAAATATTTTAAAACTGAGAGATAATGTGGTATTGTTAAAGTAAAATGTCCAGGCTTTAGCCAGAGATTGTTCTGCCAAGGATTCATAGCTCATAGCTTTAATACTTTCAATCTATTTGATTTGAACAAGGCACTCAATCTTTCTTTGTCCATGTTTTCTCATCTGTAAAATGAAGACACTAATACCTCCTATGCCTGTTTATAATAAGGATTGGATATAGTATAAGTAAACATCAGTGCAAATCCTAGCACAGAGTATTTACTTTGAAAATACATTGATATTTATTACTTATTACAGCTTTTTTTTCTATAAAGCAACATATAAAAGGGAATTTTAATTGGCAGCTCACTCATTTAATTCACTTAAATGCTGAACTGATTGGTGTCTGCTGTAAAGTAGGTTTGGGAGGTATGGTGTAACTTGAGATTCCAAGGTTCAGAGTTGTGTCCTAACAATTTCCTTAGTGAATCTGCTGCCCCATCCTCTGCTTTTCCTCTGTTAGGCAGGTCTCCACACTCTCCCTGAAAACATGATTCTTTTTGCCTTCAGTCTTGCTCATGCTGTTTGACTACTTGGAAGTAGTCTCCTTTCTTCTCCGCTATCCATACCTGTCCCTTGTTTATGGCCCAAGAGAGGTCATTTATTTCATCTGAGGGCTGCTCTCATACTTATGATCAAATGTATGCTCTGCTTTGGAATTTTGAAGTGCTTATAGTTTGCACTCATTTTGACATTTGAGGTATACCGTCTTACACAGTTAAAAGATGTAGACTCAGTGTTGAAAATCATCAAATGTGTCATGAAGCCAAAAATTCTAATTAAATGCCTTAATGTTTACGGATTGCATTCTAAACTTCATTAAGTTGTTCTTGCAGGCTCAAGTCTTAACCTCAGAATCTTTGTTTTCTTTAAATAAATTAAACTCTAAGCTCCCACCATCCAGACTGGTGGAAAATTCAACTGTGGTAATTATTGAGGCTTCTTCTCTCATGTTCATCCAATCATTCAGAGGTTTTAGATGGAGATTTTAGATGGAAGACAAATACTTGTGTCTTCCAGTCCTTGACCCATCCGAGTTACACCTGGAAAACCATTATCCATGCCTGCACAGCTCTGAAATCTACAAGTCCCCATGTTGTGTAGGATAGGAGGCTTTTCTATGACTAGGAGCTCCAGTCACTAGGGTTCAATGTAGCTCTTTCCTAGATTCCAGTCACCATTTTGTTTTGTAAGAAAGTAGATCTTGAATCCCAAATCCTCACAGATCTCAGAAACCACCATCTTTTCCTTTAGTTGGAAAAACCTTTCTCAGTCTATTTCCACCCTTTCTCTCTTCAAATGCATCTGCCCCCCTTCCCTACATATTCAGTAAAATTTCTTCACTGACTTAGATTCACAAATGGCAGAAAAACAAGCTATCTTCAATAACCTTCTGCTTTTGCCCTACATTCCTACCCTAGATAGGTCACACTACTTAACTCAATTGGAAAATAAAAGTCCTGGGAGATCATGTAATTTAATGTTTCAGTAAATTTTTCTTTCCAACTCTAATCGTGTCAGAATACAGATTGTCTGGATTTTTCTTAAAGACTTGTGGAGCATACCTATTCATGATCAGTGTGTGTGACAGCCTGAGGAACCTACTAAAAAGTAAATTATTTCAAAAAAAGAAAGATTTTGGAAGAAGAGTTGAGTGTGGGGGATTTGACTCTAATCATATGAAAGAAGATGAATGGGAGTGAGTTACATTCATTGTATTTGTCACTCTCACTTGTTAAGATGTGTCCTCTAACTTGGTGCCCATGACCTGAGAACTAGAATGAGAAGCTCCTGAGAGTGAAAACTGAAAGAGGACTACTTTACCCATAAGATACTGGAAGCACATGGGAATACTGCTTAAGGATTCATTTAGTGTAGTTGAGGGAGAACACGAGTTTAGAATATTGAAGGATTTGAATAACAAAGCATGACTGTAGGCCATTGAGATTTTGGCACAATGGTATGAAAACATGCCTTTGACATGGGAGCATCTTCACTAAGCACACCATGGTAACACCTCCTGCCGCCAAGACCTTGTGGACACATGGGAACCTGGTAACCCATATGGTGTTGGGTAACCTCCCAGGGCTCTGTTGCAAGGGGAGTATGTGCCAATGACAGACAGGTAACTATGGTAACTTGAGTAATAATGAGCCCACATTCATCCTCATTGAATACTATTCATTACCAGAATCCATGGAAAATCACATTCATAGAGCCTGCAAAACATTAAGAGGTCTGAGAAGCAGAAATATTTAAACAGAATCAGAAAAGAGGAAGATGATATTTTATATAAGGTAATTTGAAAGATTGTTGGGTAAAACATATGGACTAATTCTCTGGACTCTCAAAATTGTGTGTGTATTTGGGGGTTGGTGGGTGGGTAATACTTGGAAAGGGGCTAGAATTTCAAACATATTTGCTTTCTTCAGGTTACAACAGGAGAAATATTCTAACAATGCTCTTTGCCTTAGAGTCCCTGGAGTCAATGCTATGAGAACATTGGTTACATTTATATTTCTCCTTGTATGAACATTTATTCAGAGGTCAATAAATATTTGATTTAATGAACTGTACAACTTCTTCAATTATTATGATTAATTGTTAAATAAGTTAGTTGCTTAACGCTGGATGTTTTCTGGGACTACATCAAGATGTAAAAACAGTTACTCAAGACCAGGAAGTAGAACATTATTGACAGACATACTATCACAGTATCTTCAGCTGCAAACTGTGAAATTGACCCCTTTAGTATTTCCTGAATATTTGGTGTTTCCTGAAACATATCCTATCAAATTCCAGTCCCTCAATCAAGATATTCACTGGAGATGGCCTACCCCTTTTAATAAGATTAGCATCATCATCTTAAATATCCATGGCACATATTACATATGAAAGATTGTGAATAGTCCTATAATTTGTTTTTAAATTGCTTTTACTTAGCATACATCAAATTAACTTCCCAGTAATAGAAGAATTAACTTCTATTTTACTGAAAACCATTTGGATACATTCATATCTCATGTGTCCAAATCTTGTGTCTTATATCTTAAATATATGCATATTTTAAGTATCTATATCTTAAATACATATATTTTTATATTTTATGCATTATATCTATATAATTATTTTTATCATGTTTGTGCAAATTATGTATGCTATAGCTATATTGCCCATGGCTTATCTTCAATAGGGATTTAATGATCAAAATTGCCAATGCCATTTATCAAGTTAGAAATACATGCATTTGTAATATATATTTCTATATACCTACATATAGGTATATAGAACAATATTTGCTAGGAGTTGCCAATAGATATCCCAGTAATTCTTAAGGCCAGTAAAAAGCAATAAGCATGATAGCAATTGTTTACAATGACCAGGAAACAGGTGCAATTTCATGGCCTGTGGGTGGCAGGAAAAAGTTCATGGAAGAGGCTGTTTCCATGAGGTAGTTATCGGCATAAACAAGTGGCTAACATTTAAGTAAGCAAGTGTGTTCTAAGTGGGAGAAAACTAGAGTTAAGAGATGATATACATTAAACTATCACTTGCTAAGGCAAACATTGTTTCAGATCATTCTGTGTGAAGCTTTAGGCTCTGTGGGCATTTTGGTTTTAAAGAAAAGGAGGCTAGTCAGCATTCATGTATTTTAAAACTGTACAATATTATCTCTTGATACCATTTTATTTCTCCTAATTACATGTTAAGGGAACAAGATAATAACAGCGTGATTGAGTCTTCAATACACACTATCACATGCTCAGTCTACTAATTTGGTTACCTTTGCATAATATGATAACACTAGGGTACTAATGCTTAGGAAATTACAAATTGAACATTAAAAACAGCCCTGTTCATAAAGAAAACAAATAAGAAATAGAAACACAGAGACAGCACTCTATAGATTTAATACATTTGGGGCCTCAAAGCTGCATTTTCAGAAATGGTATCTCTCTCTTTGTTATAGTATAAGACATACAGATTCTAAGAAAGAGCCAACCTCTCCTTTGGTAATGAGTCTCTCTGCCATGGTAATGAGACTCATGGTAATGAGTCTCTCTGCCATTTAGTGTGAGTCTCTCTGCCATGACCAACCTAAGGTAGTTTCTGATACACAGTATTTTCTCATCAAAAATGTGTTGACTAAATACACACACAGACACACACACACACACACCACACACACACACCACACCACACACACACACACACACACACACACACACACAGAGGTACCAGTTTGAGTTAAACAGACATGTTTATATAGAATGTAGCAAAATAAAAATCTAGTCATTTCCTTCACTACTTTGACAAATGGAGACAAAATTAGATCATTTAAGCTTGAATATCTAACTAGCAACCTAAAGTATGTAGTTCAAAGCCAGTGTGGCCCTAGAAAAGACCTCTGTGGGACAGTTTCTGTTTCTTTGCCCTGGCTCCTCAAGTCTTACCCATAAGTAGGTCATAAATAATCCCAAACACTCTACAGTTTTCTAGGTTGCCAAAGGCAAACTTTCAGAACAAACTTGCACCTATTCTGCTATCCCTCATGTCACAACCAATGAGTTTCCCAAACTAGTCCCTGTAACTGATTTTGTCACTACCTGAAAATGGGCCCAAATGCAAAGCATCCCCTGGGGGAAGACTTACCTCTACAGTGCACCTATGAATGCAGCAACATTGCCCAGCACAGAAATTCCAGTAATAGAACCACTGGAAGTTCAATCAGGAAAAGATCTGGCATCTTAACTTCTTATTTTACAGATGAGAAATCTAAAGCCTAACCACATGAAGTGAGTGGACCAAGGTCAACCCAAATCATAGCACACCAATATTAGCCTAGACCTAAAAGTGTTGACAAAATTGTAGAGATGACTACAACTGATCATCATTACTGATTATCTTATTTTAAAATTAACATATAAATGAGGAGATGGCAAAGCAGTAGGTCAGCCTGAAAAAAAAACAAAGACAATGTGGAACTCATTGGTTGAGCCATGTAACTTTTTTGTGTGGTACAAACCATGTAAAAAGTCACCATAAAACTAGAGTATAGACACATTATAAGTATCTAGACATTACAGATGAACTTCCAAGCATTTTTTTTTTACAGCTAGCAAACAGACACAAATAATCAGATACATTGAGCTAGCTAACTAATTTTCTAACAGAATATTTACTCAAAGGCTAGAACTACATAGGAAAACCCCACAATTAACCTTTGAAAACAAAAGGAATTGTTGCCTGGAAGATTTTCAGACCTTAATTATTGATACAAGCTTAAGGGTAAATCTAAACCATGACCTTAAACATTCTTTATCTTTATATTTCACATCTTATTTGAGAAGTAAGACAATTCTAGTTCCTAAGCTGTCTTCATATAAAATGAAAAAAAAGTAATGTCTTATATAGCTCAGTTAGTTGATCAAACTTTCTAAAAATATATTAATTTTATTGCTTCATGATTTCAAGAAATAGATTTTTTCAGTTTATATGCCATGTAGAGAATATATTTTTTAATAAAACTAATAAAATATGTTTCCTTCACTAAACTGAAGTGAAAATTTTCTGTATTAAAATTATTAAATCCGATGTCTAATTAAGGAAAACTATATACAAGACTGGAAGTGGTATGGTAGAGAAGAAATTATAACCATCTAATTGGCAAATACGTGCTGTCTTGCTGGGCATCATTGATCATGCCTATTTCTGAGTCTTTACAATGCCATGCTGCTATTGCATGTTTTGTGTGTGTGCTTACCAATAAGGAAAGGAAAAAAAAGCATCTCTTATTAATCATATACCATGTGTTTGGGATGTAGTAGGCACTTAATAAATAATCTCGAATGAAGAAAAGTCAGGCACTGTGACAGTTAATATGTGCCTTGTCATTTAATTTTCTTTTTACATGAAGTATATTGGGATGCTCTGAAGTTAAGTAATTAGCTCAATAATGCCCTATAGGATAAATCCACAATTTAAGCCTGGGTCTACCTTTTTGTAATCCCTAAAAATGTTTTTACCCTAAAAATTCCATTTACATTAAATATGAATCCAAATACGCATCTTAAATTGTCCAACATTTAACCCACAGGCTCAAAATAAAGGGATGGACAAAGATCTACCATGCAAACAGAAAACAAAACAAAAAAAATAGCAGGAGTCACTATTCTCATATCAGATAAAACAGTCTTTAAACTAACAACCATTAGGAAGTACAAATAAGGGCATTACATAATGATAAATAATTCATTCAATAAGAAGACTTAACTATTGTAAATATAAATGCACCCAACATTGAAGCACCCAAATTAATAAAACAAGTTCTTCTTGACCTACAAAATGACAGCCACACAATAATAGTAGGGGACTTCAACACCCCACTGACAGTGTTAGACAGAGTATTGAGGAAGAAAACTAACAAAGAAATTCTGCACTTTAACTCAATGCCTGACCCACTGGACCTAATAGACATCTACAGAATGCTCCACGCAAGAACCACAGACTATACATTCTTCTCATCCACACACGGAACATATTCTAAGATTAACCAGACATTTGGTCATAAAGCAAGTCCCAATAAGCTTGAAAAAATTACCACAGTGCAATAAAAATAGAAGTCAATACCAGGATCTCTCAAAACTACACAAAAAGGGGGGAAAAATGGAAACTAAACAAATTGCTCCTGAATAACTCTTGGTTGAACAATGAAATTAAGGCAAGAATCAAAAATTTATTTGAAATTAGTGAAAATGGAGAAACAACTTACCAAAATCTTTGGGATGCAGCTAAAGCAGTGTTAAGAAAGTTGATTGTGCTAAACACTTTCATCCAGAAGTTAGAAAGATTTCAAATTAATTATCTAACATTGCACCCAGAGAAACTAGATAAAGAAGAGCAAATCAACCCCAAAGCCAGCAGAAGAAAAGAAATAACTAAAATCTGAAAGTAAAACTCAACAAAATTGAGGCCAAAAAGTCCATACAAAAGAGCAAAGAAACTAAGAATTGGTTCTTTGAAAAAATAAACAAGATTGATAGACGCTAGCTAGATTTACAAAGAAAAAAAAGAGAAATTCCAAAGAAGGGCAATCAGAAATGACAAAGATGACATTACAACTGATCTCACAAAAATATGAAAGATCCTCAGAGACTATTATGAACACCTTTATACACACAAACTAGAAAATCTAGAGGAAATTAAGAAAATATTGGAACTGCACAAACTTCCCAAGATTGAGCCAGGAAGAGAGTGAAAACCTGAACAGACCCATAATAAGCTCTGAAATTGAATCAGTAAATTATTTTATATATATATATATATGCATATGTATATGTTATATATATAATACATATAACATATATAAAACCTAATTCAGTAATTTAATATAATGTAATATATATTGACATATTATATGTCAATGTCATATGACAAACCCATGGCCAACATCACACTTAATGGGCAAAAGCTGAAACAATTCCCCTTGAGAACTGGAACAAGACAAGGATGCCCACTCTTGCCACTCCTCTTCAACACAGTACCGAAATTGCTAGCCAGAGCAATCAAGCAAGAGAAAGAAAGAAAAGGCATCCAAATAGGAAAAGAAGTCAAATTATCTCTCGTCACAGATGATAGGATCCTACAACTAGAAAACCCTAAAGACTTTGCCAAAAGGCTCCTGGAACTGATAAGCTACTTCAGTAAGGTTTCAGGCTATGAAATCAGTGTACAAAAATCAGATGGATTCATAGCCAAATTCTATGAGATGTACAAAGAACTGATACCACTTCTACTGAAACTATTCAAAAAAAAAATCAAGGAAGAGGGCCTCCTACCTAACTCATTCTACAAAGCCAGCATCATCCTGATACCAAAATCTGGCACACACCCACACACACAACACAACTTTAGGCCAATATCCCTGATGAACATAGTTACAAAAATCCTCCACAAAATACTAACAAACTGAATCCAATAGCACATCAAAAAGTTAATTCATCATGATCAAGTAGACTTTATTCCTGGGATGCAAGTTTGGTTAAACATAAATAAATAAATTAAATTAATGTGATTCACCACATTTTGTTACAAGCAGAATAAAAACAGAATAAAAAACAAAAATCATATGATGATCTCAATAGAGACAGGCAAAGTCGTTGATAAAGTCCAAGATTCCTTCATGAAGAGAAAAAAAAAAACCCTCAACGGACTAGGCATCAAATGAACATAACTCAAAATAAAAAGAGCCATCTGTGACAAACCCATGGTCAACAACACACTTAATGGGCAACAACACACTGAAACAATTCCCCTTGAGAACTGGAGCAAGACAAGGATGCCCAATTTCGCCACTCCTCTTCAACACAGTACTGAAATTGCAAGCCAGAGCCATCAAACAAGAGAAAGAAAGACAAGGCCTCCAAATAGGAAAAGAAGTCAAACTATCTCTCGTCATGGATGATAGGATCCTACAACTAGAAAAGTCTAAAGACTTTGCCAAAAGGCTCCTGGAACCAATAAGCTACTTCAGTAAGCTTTCAGGCTATGAAATCAAGGTACAAAAATCAGTAGCATTTCTATACACCAATAACACTCTAGGTGAAAGCTGAATCAAGAACACAATCCCATTTATAATTGCTGCAAAATAAATAAAATATCTAGAAGTACGTCTAACCAAGAAGGTGAAAGATTTCTATAAGGAAAACTACAAAACACTACTGAAAGAAATCACACGTGACACACAAAAAAATGAAAAACATTCCACGCTCATGAATTGGAAGAATATGTATTGTTAAAATGGTCCTACTGCCAAAAGCAATTTACAGATTCAGTGCTATCCTTATCAAAATATCAGTGTCATTTTAAACAGAAGTAGAAAAAAAACTATTCTAAAATTCATATGGAACCAAAAAGGTGCCAAAATAGCCAAAGCAATCCTAAGCAAAAAGAACAAAGCTGGAGGACTTACATTACTCTGCTTTAAACTATATACTAAAGCTACACTAACCAAAACAGCATGGTACTGGACAAAACCAGATGCAAAGATCAATGGAACAGGATAGAGAACCCAGAAATAAAGCCACATAAAGCCACACAAAGCTAAAACCATCTGACTGTTTTTTGTTTTTTGTTTTTTTCTTTGAGACAGGGCCTTAGTGTGTCACCCAGGCTGCAGTGCAGTGGTGCAAACTTGGAACTCGGCAACACTGCAGCCTTGACCTCCCATGTTCAAGTGATCCTCCTGCTTCCCACCTCAATCCCCATAAGCAGCTGGGAATACAGGTGCATGCCACTATGGGTAATTATTTTTTGGGTTTTTTGGTTGTTGTTATTGTTTGTTTGTTTGTAGAGATGAGGTTTCACCATGTTTCCCAGGCTGGTCTGGAACTTTTTACCTCAAGCGATCCAGCCACCACGGCCTCCCAAAGTACTGGAATTACAGGCATGAGCCGCTGCACCTGGCCCAACCATCTGATTTTTGACAAAGTCAACAAAAGAAGCAATGGGAAAGAACTCTCTATTTATTAAGTGGTGCTGGAATAACTAGTTAGCCATATGCAGAAGAATGAAACTGGACCCCTACGTTTCACTGTATACAAATGTTAAGATGGATTAAAATACTTAAATGTAAGACCTCAAACTATAAAAAATCTAGAAGAAAAGCTAGGAAATACCTTTCTCAATATCAGATTTGGCCAAGAATTTATGGGTAAGTCCCCAAAAACAATTATAACAGAAAGAAAAATTGACAATTGGGACCTAACCGAACTAACAAGCTTCTGTAGAGCAAAAGAAATTGTCAACAGAGTAAATAGCCTACAGAATGGGAAAAAATATTCATAAGCTATGCATCTAACAAAGACTTTATATCCACAGTCTAAAAGGAACTTAAAGAAATCAACAAGCAAAAAAACAAATAATCCAATTAAAAAATAGGCAAAAGACCTGAACAGACACTTCTCAGAAGACATACAAGCAGCCAACAAATACATGAAAAAAAATGCTCAACATCACTAATCATTAGAGAAATGCAAATCAAAACCTCTAAAGGATACCACTCACACCAGTCAGAATGGCAATTATTAAGAAGTCAAAAAATAACAGATGCTGGTGAAGCTCCAGGGAAAAGGGAATGCATACACACTTGGAGGGGATGCAAATTAGTTTAGCCACTGTGGAAAACAGTTTGAAGATTTCTCAAAGAACTTAAAATAGAACTATCATTTGACCCAGAAATTCTATTACTGAGTATATAACCAAAGGAAAATAAACCATTTTACCAAAAAGACACATGAACTTGTATGATCATCACAGCACTATTCACAATAACAAAAATATGGAATCAACCTAAGTGCCCATCAATGGTAGATTGGTTAAAAAAAAGTGGTACATATACACGATGGAATACTAGGCAGCCATAAAAAATAATTAATTCATGTCCTTCACAGCAACATGGATGCAGTTGGACGCCATTATCCTAAGCAAATTAACACAGAAACAGAAAACCAAATACTTCATGTTCTCACTTATAAAAGAGTGCTAAACATTTAATACACATGGTTACAAAGATGGCAACAATTGATACTGGGGACTACTAGAAGAGAGAGGGAGAGAAGGGGACATGGGCTGAAAAACTACCCATTAGGTACTACGCTCAGTACCTGGGCAATAGGGCCATCTATACTCCAAACCTGAGCATCATGTAACATACCCATTAACAAATCTGCACATATACCCACTGAATCCCCCACTCAAAAAAAAAATTGCCCAACATCTTCATAATATTGTCTCTCTTTATGTGCTCACAAGTGATCAGAATGGGGAAGCACAATTGCTTTGATGAAGATGTTAGAGTGGGCTTTCTTTTCTTTTCTTTTCTTTTTTTATTTACAGAGACAGAGTCTTACTCTGTTGCCCAGGCTGGAAGGCAGTGGTCTGATTTCAGCTCACTGCAACCTCCGCCTCCCAGGTTCAAGCAATTCTCTGCCTCAGCTTCCCAAGTAGCTGGGACTACAGGCTCACACCACCATGCCCGGCTAATTTTTTTTTTGTTTCGTAGAGATGGGGTTTCACCATATTGGCCAGGCTGGTCTTGAACTCCCGGCCTCAAGTGATCCACCTGCCTCGGCCTTCCAAAGTGCTAAGATTATGGAAGTGAGCCACTGCACCTGGCTGTGTGGGCTATTTTCTAATGGTAGGGTGTAGTGAATAATGTGAAAGATCATCTCCTTCAAAATCTCTACACCATGTGATTTTGGTTTCACATGCTGTCTACATTTCTATTAATAAGAATTTATGTTAATAATTTTCCTCTTTCAAAATGTAAATATCCTTGGGAAAATTAAATAAGTTGCCATTAATTCATTAAAGTGAATTGATTTAATCAAATTGCTTCCACCCAGCAGATATAACCTCGTTGAAGAAATTGGCATTTCCATTCTGAAGCTTATGCCCTTAATGGGAAGGTGGAAAAGGGCATTTCATGTGAGGCCAGGCTTGGGTAGGCACCATGAGAAGCTTTGTACATCCAAAAAACAGCACGAAGGGGTGGATGTGTTCATTTGGAAGAAGAGATGGTGATAATTTAGATAGAGAGTCCAGAAAGAGAAGCTGAAGTGTAGAAACATGTGGCTTAGACTGGGCTCAGTGGCTCATGCCTGTAATCCCAGCACTTTGGGAGGCCGAGGCAGGTGGATCACGAGGTCAGGCATTTGAGACCAGCCTGGCCAACATAGTGAAACCCCGTCTCTACTAAAAATACAAAAAATTAGCCGGGTGTGGTGGCAGGCACCTGTAGTCCCAGCTACTCGGGAGGCTGAGGAAGGAGAGTCACTTGAACCAGAGAGGCAGGGGTTGCAGTGAGCCAAGATCGCACTGCTGCACTCCAGCCCGGGCAACAGTGTGAGACTCTGTTAAAAAAAAAAAAAGAAAGGAAGAAAGAAAGAAGAAGAAAGAAAGAGAGAGAGAGAAAGAGAAAGAAAGAAAGAGAGAGAAAGAAGAAAGAAAGAAAAAAGGAAGAAAGAAAAGAAAGAAAGAAAGAAGAAAGAAAGAAAAAGAAAGAAAGAAAGAAAGAAAGAAAGAAAGAAAGAAAGAAAGAAAGAGAAAGAAAGAAAGAAAGAGGCTTATCTAGCTAGTTTGCTTAGGTGTCCAACTACTTTAAAAATACACACAAAAAATATTCCTGAACACACTGTCACTTGGACTATATGAGCCTAACCTATTTATTGATTTGTTATCATGCATAAGCAGGCACTATCCTTATACATGGTATATCCTTAACCACCAAAGAAATGACTTGTTACACAAAGAATCAAAATATGTGTATGTGAGTAAACATGTACTTTTAAAGTGGGAAGGCCAAAGACAAAGAAAGCACTTTTGGCTGTCAAGGAGTTTGCAATTTGATTTGTGCAGGCCGTAGGTTTCTGTAATAACAAGTGTTGTCAAATAATGCAAAATGCTCAATATCAGAACTCAATGTATTAGTTTCTTATGGCTGCTGTAACAAAGAATGGTGGCTTAAAACAATGGAAATTTATTTTTTCACTGTTCTGGAGGCTAGATGTCCAAAATCAGGGCATCAGCAGGGCCATATCCATCTGACAGTCTGGGTAGAAACCTTCCTGCCCCTTCCTAGCTTCTGATGGCGGCCGTCTACCCTCAGGGTTCCTTGGCTTGTAGCTGTCTCACTCCAGTCCCTGCCTCTCCTATCACATCTTATCCCTCAGCCTCTCCCTGTGTGTCTTTTTCTTCACATGACACTTTCCTCCTCAGCCTCTCCCTGTGTGTCTTTTTCTTCACGTGACATTTTCCTTCTCTTGTAAGGACATAAGTCATATTAGACTAGGGCTCACCCTAATTACCTTTCCTTAACTTGATTACATCAGCAAAGACCTTATTTCCAAATAACTTCAAATTCACAGGTACCTGGGGTGAAGACTTCAATATATCTTTGGGAGGACATAATTCAATCCATAAAACAACTCGTTTTTAAATGAATAACGGCCGCTTAATTCTGTTTATAGATGCTGAGGAATTGTGTGACTATTCCTAGTGAGGCCGTATGAAACTCAGCCAGCAGATGGTCTACGATCCGGAGGTGGTGTCCATGATTTTTTTCATGTGTTTTGTGATCTAACAAACTCAGGTGCTTCATCTAACAGCTGGGGTATTCCTAAATAGGATTGAGATTATAACCAAATTATTAAAAGTAAAACTATGGGTCAGGCATGGTGGCTCATGCCTGTAATCCCAGCACTTTGGGAGGCCGAGGCAGGTGGATTGCCTGAGGTCAGGAGTTCGAGACCAGCCTGGCCAACATGGAGGAACCCTGTCTCTACCAAAATTACAAAATTTAGCTAGGCGTGGTGGCAAGCGCTTGTAGTCCCACCTACTCAGGAGGCCGAGGCAGGAGAATTGCTTTAATCCAGGAGGTGGAGGTTGCAGTGAGCTGAGATCGTGCCATTGCACTCCAGCCTGGGAGACAGAGCAACACTCTGTCTCAAAGAAGAAAAAAAAAAGGTAAAACTGTTTCTATAAATTTTCAATAAAATAACTCTAACACTGACAGATGCAAATAGTAAAATTCCAACACTAAGAAAAAGGGCACCATATATAATATAATTTACTGAACATACTTATTTTATTTCTTACAATATTTAAAATGCTTCTTCAAATCCTGTCATTGTGGACTTTATTCAGGATTTGTTCTCTGTTCTTCATATTTCACTAGTTGTGTAGGTCGGTACAATCTTCTCATCTTTCAGGTAAAGAGGATATTCTTTATTATAATCAGCGAGCAAAAGGTCATCTCAGACTAAATCCGTTTTAGTCACTTCAATAATGTTTTAATTTTTTGTCTAATTTTTATCTTGGTTTTCTTTCATGTAGCTTCACCCAAACTGCTGTCCACCTCTTACCAAATAACAATGTATTTTTTAAGTTCACTTCTTCCAAAGGGCCATCCATCATTTTCTGCTTTCTAATACACACAGGACAAAGTTTCAAAATCCATTCCATACTCACTTATTATGTAAAGATCATGTGCAACTCTGTTTTGCATTCTGTATTTTCAACATTAGAAATCTGACATTAAAACATTGTATTTCTACTAAAATAGGATGGATTGGATTTAAAACTTGCAAGATATATAGTCTTGTGAGTCCTGAGTTTGATGAATTAGAATTCATCAAATTCTATTCCCTCCATACTGAACTGAACTAGTGTTGAGGTAGGCATTCTATTCCAATTATTTTGTAACAAGATGTTATTGGCTGACACACTTTCATCTCTGGTAGTAGTATTGATATAAATTTTCAAAACAAGTTACCATGTAATAGTAACATAGTTCTCATTTGGAAAAATTATAGTCTGGATAGATACAAATGGCCTTCTTGGCATTAAGCCATAGAAAGACACAGCTCTGACAGCCTGAGTCTTCCTGATTTACCGGAATTTGAGAAATCTTCATCAGGTCTTCAGAGTAGCGTCTGAGCCTGCACGTCTCCACTGTTCCAGCTCCAAAACTCACGCCAGAACTTATATCACTGAGCCTAGTTTCATTCCATTCCTGAACTGTGGCCAGACTATGACTTGCATGGTTTCTTGGCTTCAGGTAATCCTTAGCATAACTACTGCTCAAGTGTGGTACACACCCATGCTTTGGGTAAAGGTAGCCTTCAGTCTAATCTACATGAACAGATTCGCTTCTGTCTTAAGAATGAGAGTGGGACTAGAGAGGCTTCTTTCAGTGAAGACAGCCCCTCCAAAAGCCGTTAACTAAATGTGGTTCACAAAAGCTGTATCTATACGCCCTGTTATGGGTTTACTCGCATCCCCACAAAACTTTTGTGTGGAGGTTCTAACCTCCAGTATTTCAGAGTGTGGCCTCATTTGGACATAGGTTCATAGCAGATGAATTAGTTAAATTAGGATGAGGTCATGCTGGAGTAGAATGAGCCCCTAATCCAATATGACTGTTGTCCTTATAAAAAGAGAAATTCAGACACAGACATTTACGCAGGGAGAATACCACATGAACGTGAAGGCAGAGACCAGGCTGATGTGTCTGCAAGCCAAGGAATCTCAAAATATCTCAATCACCAGAAGCTAGGGGAGAGGCCTGAAATAGAGTCTTCCTCATAAAGAAGGCACCAACGTAGCTAACACATTAATAATCAGACTTCTATTAACAGCTTCCAAAACCTTGAGACAATAAATGTCTGTTGTTTAAGCTACTCAGTCTGTGGTATTTTGTTATGGCAGCCCTGGAAAACTAATGGGGGCCCCATATTAAGTGCAGCTTTTATGGTCATCTGCTCACCTCTATAGACACACACATACATAGGTATAGTATATGATATAATATTATATATGGCATATACTTTGATGTCTAATATATAAGAATAAATATAGTTTAATACACCCTTAAAGGTTACTTAGCAAAAGATGCTCAATTTTATTTTGTCAATTAAGAAGGTGAGGTTAAATTTATCTATTCATATTAGAAAAAAATCAAAACCAAATAAGCATTCATAAAATTGCATCTTGGAAAAATGCAAAGCAGTCACACACATAAACTCCAGTCCTTAGCTACATTTCCTGCTGCCTTCACATGCATACGTACATTGTTACTCATTTTTCTTATGACTATATATTATCAAAGGATTCAAACAGCAATTCTATGACTTATGGTCCTTCGAGTTTGGTAATTGTTGTCTATAAATCACTGTTACCCGGTTTATATGTTTACTAGCATACGATTTAGTCCAATACAGGATATGTGAATACAGCATGTGCTTCTTCGCATGTGCGTGCTCATACAAGTAGATGCACATGCTTATTCACGTGTTTTATACTTAGTTTCTTGTCAAGAAAAAGGTTAACAGTGTGGATGCTGGAACAGACTGTGTTCACACCTTTGCAAACGAGGCTGCAAGTCATAGGGCTATATGCTGTGTTTTTAAGAAATCTGATTTTTTGCCAGCCCACATCAACACATGTGGATCATGTGCCTGTTATTTTATTTGCCTTTCCATTAGGTTGTCTCATTAAGATGTGCCTGTAATGGAGAAAGGTGTGTGTGTGTGGGAGGGCCGATGGGAAAGCTCAGTAAAGCCTTGTTTAGAATAGTCCAGATCGGTGAGGTCCTCTTATCTTTATCTTTCATAGCTGTGGGCTTATAATTTTCCCTTTGCCAAATATATCTACTAAAGAAGTCCATGTAAATAACTAGCACATAAATGTTAACAGAAGTTCAAGCTGGGAGAATATGGTAGATACGATACACAGAAAAATCTCTATTAGTCCACACTAATTCAGAGTTGTTATTTGTTCTAACATAGGTTGGATTATAATTTATTCAGCATAGTTTATGTGAGGAAAAGAGATGTTAAGCAAATTGCTAATGTCAAAGGGATTACTTGACTCGGTTAGATATCTGGCAACCACATTTTCTTCTATGCTTTTGCAGCAACAAAAGCAGCACTTTCGCATGCATCAACATAATAACTATAACTGTTTCTGAATCATGTATTAAAATAGGCCTAATAACCATTATTCTCATATTATTTAAAATTACGGGGACCAAATTTATTTAAAAATAATATTCTATAAAAATTTAAATTTTCATTAATCAAGACTGGGTTCTCTCTACCCCATTTGTAGTTGTGCGATTTTCCACACACATCTCTCTTTAGCTTTCATGTGCTCTTGTAAGCAATAACTTGGAGAATTTCGATGGCCAGGTAGCCAGGAAAGGCATCAACTGCAGAGAAGTGCCGCCATTTTTAAGTC